>NC_000010.11:4858484-5010000 GCF_000001405.40 Homo sapiens
ATAATTATTTCAATGCAATTGGTGCTTCAATTGAGGTAACACAAGTTAGCATAGAACTACAGAGAGAAAGTGTGTGGAAGATCAGGCCAGGGTGGTGGAGACATTTTAGATGAATGCCTAAGGTTCAATAGAAAGACTGCCCAAGACGAGAGGAATATTTCAGGCAGCTTTTACAATGTTCTATATGGTGTTTCAAGGTGGAAAGAAGGCATGCACTAGGGGAGTAGCAATTCGTCGGCACAACCAGAGACTAGAATGCATGGAGATGAGTGGTGGAAGATGAGGCTGAAAAGGTGGGTAGAAATCAGATCACTTTAAACACATACTAAGGAATTTGGATTTTTTTTTTTTTTTTTTGAGATGGAGTCTCACTTTGTCACCCAGGCTGGAGTACAGTGGCGTGATCTCAGCTCACTGCAACCTTCGCCTCCCTGGTTCAAGTGATTCTCCTGCCTCAGCCTCCTGAGTAGCTGGGATTACAGGCATCCACCACCACGACCAGCTAATTTTTGTATTTTTAGTAGAGACGAGGTTTCACCATGTTGGCCAGGCTGGTCTCAAACTCCTGACTTCAGGTGACATCCGCCTCAGCCTCCCAAATTTCTGGGATTACAGATGTGAGCCACTGCACCCAGCCAGGAATTTGGATTTTATCAACGAGATCATGTATGGTCTTTGAAGTTTTGTCACAATTTATTCATTTATTTCACCCACATAAATTGAATCCCAATGTGTTAGTCTATGTATTGGGTTTAGGATACAAATATGAATGAAGCATCGTTTCTATTCTCAACTCTGTCAGTTGAAACACAACAAATATCAGGCACAACAAATGGAAAATGAAACGTTGAGTGTGATATGTGCTACGACTACATTCGGTACCAGAGGCCAAGAGGCAGGGAGGAAGACATGGCACAGGATATACTGGATATAAGATAAGACATTGAGTAGTTATTTGATATGTGAGAGAAAGAAAAACAGTCAGAAATGCAAACAAAATCATGAGGCCTGGAAGAACACTATGGTCTTAAAAAGCAACAGTTTTTCCCCTCTGGCTAGAATTAGCATAGGAAAAGGAGAGGTGAGGCTAAAGATCTAAGTGTGGGGATACAATTCTGCCCGCACTTCTCATATTTCTGCCAATTCTGGGTTTTCTGAGCAAAGGCATTTACAGCCATTGTATGAGGTGAAATTCCAGGAAAGTGAAGAATAGGGTCAGATCTCTCTTTAGATATCTTAAGGTAAAAAGAGGAAGACTGTCCTTCCTTTCTCTGAAAAAGAATGGCTTACGTTACATGAGTGATCTCTCTCTGGAGAGGAGAATAGACAGGTCAGCAGTGGCTCTGTGTAAGATCAGAATTTTCTAATTTTGTGGTGTCTCCCTTAGAATGCACTCCATGCATGTGCAGGTGCCATTTGGCCCTCATGGAGTTGACCTGTGGGAATTGGGGATCGAGGCACCAGATGGGGCTCTGGCTGCTGCTTTTGAAGAGTAGTGAGCCATCTTAGCTCCTGAGGCAGGGCCCTTGTGTCTTCCGCCAGTGTCTGTCTATCTATTGTCAGCAAGTATGACTGTCAGGAGCTGACTATTATATTTCTACTGGGGCAAAAACCTCAGATCCTTTCCAGTTCCTGATTTAACAGTTGGCAAGGCCTACACTATCCCCCCATGTTCCAGGCCAGTGAACTTAAACTTTAACTGACAGGAAATCTTTACAGAGATAAGTCATGATATTGGATTTGTGTTTTTAAAATAATGAGTTAGAGGCTGGGGGTAGAAGATGAGTCCATAGGGCACTAGGCACCTTTGAGGTCAAGAATATGTCTTCTCTCTTCACGGTGCCATTGCAATCTTCTGACAAATAGCCCATCCAACTGCTTCTTCGTTTTTATAGACAGAAGCTGAATCTATGTGGCAAGAGCCAGTTTTGATAGCTGTTGTGATGGACTCTTCATACTCTCTCTGAGGAACCTTTATGACCAAGGACAGCATTGTTGTCCTGTCTGATTCACACAAGGGGAACCTCATAGTGGCTGCCAACTTTTTTGATTGCACCTCTATCAGTAAAGCTTTTTGAATTTGCATAGAAATATATCCATGTTTATTGATTTATTACTATATGAATGTACTGCTTTACTAATACGATGTATACATTATTAAATACTCTTAGAGCATCTGAAGATTAAATTTAAAAATCGAAAAATAAGAGCTTTATTAATAACCCAAACTCTGTGCTCTCTCTAATATATTGTGATTAATACCAAATTCTTTTCAAAGCAATGGTATGAATATGCTTTATTGGCTTTTTTTGTTGGTCCTTCTTGATTTAATGCTTTTTGACCTAGAAATGTGAACCTTGGGATTCTACATTCAGTTTAATTTGAAATACGGTTTTCATGGCAGTCAACTGCAGCTAAGGATGCCTCATAGAGATGCTTCGATGCACATAGGGGAAGTCCGTCTTTGGGTCCTCTTCATAAATCATGGTATGGTTTTCTCAGTCCCCTTTGCCATTTGTATAATTTTTGAAATTTGACCAGTACATTATAATCTCCTCTGATATGCTCTTGGTATGTAATTGTAATCAATCAGGCTCAAAACTTACAAAACATTTTATTTGGAAGATTTTTAAACAGATTAAAACACTCTATCCAAAACTTTTAAAGTGTTCAGGAAATTTTTGTAGGTGCCACACTTCTATCATTTTAACAACAAAATCTCACAGTGACAGAAATATTTTCGGACATCTATTTCAACCTTAAGAAAGAAGATTTAATGTGTTATTTAATTAAAAAAACTCTAAAAACTAATCATCATCCCAGAGCACATTAGCAAATATAGAACATTTTTTTGGGAGGGGAGTAAAAATGTGCAATATGTCTTCTTCTTCTTTTTCTTTTCTTGAGATGGAGTCTCACTCCATTGTCCAGGATGGAGTGCAATGGCGTGATCTTGGCTCACTGCAACCTCTGCCTCCTGGGTTAAAGCGATTCTTGTGCCTTAGCCTACCAAGCAGCTGGGATTACAGTTGCACCACCGCGCCCAGCTAATTTTTGTATTTTTATTAGCGATGGGGTCTCACCATTTTGGCCAGGCTGGTCTCAAACTCCTGACCTCAAGTGATCCTCCCGCCTCGGTCTCCCAAAGTGCTAGGATTACAGGCATGAACCACCGCGCCTGGCCAATATGTCTTTATAGTCAAAAATTCTTTGAAATAATTTACCATAGATAAGTGAACTTTTTGTGTGTGGCCTAAAAGATATATTCCTTCACTCACTTTTTGATGGGGTTGTTTGTTTTTTTCTTGTAAATTTGTTGGAGTTCTTTGTAGATTCTGGATATTAGCCCTTTGTCAGATGAGTAGATTGCAAAAATTTTCTCCCATTCTGTAGGTTGCCTGTTCACTCTGATGGTAATTTCTTTTGCTGTGCAGAAGCTCTTTGGTTTAATTAGATCCCATTTGTCAATTTTGGCTTTTGTTGCCATTGTTTTTGGTGTTTTAGACATGAAGTCCTTGCCCATGCCTATGTCCTGAATGGTATTGCCTAGGTTTTCTTCTAGGGTTTTTATGGTTTTAGGTCTAACATTTAAGTCTTTAATCCATCTTGAATTAGTTTTTGTATAAGGTGTAAGGAAGGGATCCAGTTTCAGCTTTCTACATATGGCTAGCCAGTTTTCCCAGCACCATTTGTTGAATAGGGAATCCTTTCCCCGTTTCTTGTTTTTGTCAGGTTTGTCAAAGATCAGATAGTTGTAGATGTGTGGTATTATTTCTGAGGGCTCTGTTCTGTTCCATTGGTCTATATCTCTGTTTTGGTACCAGTACCATGCTGTTTTGGTTACTGTAGCCTTGTAGTATAATTTGAATTCAGGTAGTGTGATGCCTCCAGCTTTGTTCTTTTGGCTTAGGATTGACTTGGCAATGCATGCTCTTTTTTGGTTCCATATGAACTTTAAAGTAGTTTTTTCCAAATCTGTGAAGAAAGTAATTGGTAGCTTGATGAGGATGACATTGAATCTATAAATTACCTTGGGCAGTATGGCCATTTTCACGATATTGATTCTTCCTATCCATGCACATAGAATGTTCTTCCATTTGTTTGTATCCTCTTTTATTTTGTTGAGCACTGGTTTGTAGTTCTCTTTGAAGAGGTCCTTCACATCCCTTGTAAGCTGGATTCCTAGGTGTTTTATTTTCTTTGAAGCAATTGTGAATGGGAGTTCACTCATGATTTGGCTCTCCGTTAGACACACATAGGCTCAAAATAAAGGGATGGAGGAAGATCTGCCAAGCAAATGGAAAACAAAAAAAGGCAGGGGTTGCAATCCTAGTCTCTGATAAAATGGACTTTAAACCAACAAAGATCTAAAGAGACAAAGAAGGCCATTACATAATGATAAAGGGATCAATTCAACAAGAAGAGCTAACCTAAATACATATGCACCCAATGTAGGGGCACCCAGATTCATAAAGCAAGTCCTTAGAGACCTACAAAGAGACTTAGACTCCCACACAATAATAATGGGAGACTTTAACACCCCACTGTCAACATTAGACAGATCAACGAGACAGAAAGTTAGCAAGGATATCCAGGAATTGAACTCAGCTCTGCACCAAGTGGACCTAATAGACATCTACAGAACTCTCCACCCCAAATCAACAGAATATACATTCTTCTCAGCACCACACCGCACTTATTCCAAAACTGACCACATAGTTGGAAGTAAAGCACTCCTCAGCAAATGTAAAAGAACAGAAATTATAACAAACTGTCTCTCAGACCATAGTGCAATCAAACTAGAACTCAGGATTAAGAAAGTCACTCAAAACCACTCAACTACATGGAAACTGAACAACCTGCTCCTGAATGACTACTGGGTACATAACAAAATGAAGGCAGAAATAAAGATGTTCTTTGAAACCAACGAGAACAAAAACACAACATACCAGAATCTCTGGGACACATTTAAAGCAATGTGTAGAGGGAAATTTATAGCACTAAATGCCCACAAGAGAAAGCAGGAAAGATCTAAAATTGACACCCTAACATCACAATTAAAAGAACTAGAGAAGCAAGAGCAAACACATTCAAAAGCTAGCAGAAGGCAAGAAATAACTAAGATCAGAGCAGAACTGAAGGAGATAGAGTCACAAAAAACCCTTCAAAAAATCAATGAATCCAGGAGCTGGTTTTTTGAAAAGATCAACAAAATTGATAGACCACTAGCAAGACTAATAAAGAAGAAAAGAAAGAAGAATCAAATAGATGCAATAAAAAATGATAAAGGGGATATCACCACCGATCCCACAGAAATACAAACTACCATCAGAGAATACTGTAAACACCTCTATGCAAACAAATTAGAAAATCTAGAAGAAATGGATAAATTCCTCGACACATAAACCCTCCCAAGACTAAACCAGGAAGAAGTTGAATCTCTGAATATACCAATAACAGGCTCTGAAATTGAGGCAATAATTAATAGCTTACCAACCAAAAAAAGCCCAGGACCAGACGGATTCACAGCTGAATTCTACCAGAGGTACAAGGAGGAACTGGTACCATTCCTTCTGAAACTATTCCAATCAATAGAAAAAGAGGGAATACTCCCTAACTCATTTTATGAGGCCAGCATCATCCTGATACCAAAGCCTGGCAGAGACACAACAAAAAAAGAGAATTTTAGACCAATATCCCTGATGAAATTGACGCAAAAATCCTCAATAAAATACTGGCAAACCGAATCCAGCAGCACATCAAAAAGCTTATCCACCATGATCAAGTGGGCTTCATCCCTGGGATGCAAGGCTGGTTCAACATATGCAAATCAATAAACGTAATCCAGCATATAAACAGAATCGAAGACAAAAACCACATGATTATCTCAATAGATGCAGAAAAGGCCTTTGACAAAATTCAACAGCCCTTCATGCTAAAAACTCTCAATAAATTAGGTATTGATGGGACATATCTCAAAATAATAAGAGCTATTTATGACAAACCCACAGCCAGTATCGTACTGAATGGGCAAAAACTGGAAGCATTCCCTTTGAAAACTGGCACAAGGCAGGGATGCCCTCTCTCACCACTCCTATTCAACAGTGTTGGAAGTTCTGGCCAGGGCAATCAGGCAGGAGAAAGAAATAGAAGGTATTCAATTAGGAAAAGAGGAAGTCAAATTGTCCCTGTTTGCAGATGACATGATTGTATATCTAGAAAACCCCATCGTCTCAGCCCAAAATCTCCTTAAGCTGATAAGCAACTTCAGCAAAGTCTCAGGATACAAAATCAATGTGCAAAAATCACAAGCATTCTTATACACCAATAACAGAGTAAGTGAATTATAGTGTGTTCACGTTGAGTCCCTTGTGTGGGCCAGTCTTCCAACAAGGCTATCCTTCTTGTAATAACTTCCTTTCTTTTTGCAGAGATACAGTAATAAGTTCATGAGTGAAAAATGAAATATTCCTACATATCTATGTACCAAAATCCCAATTTGAATAAAGAGTTAACTATGAGTAAAACTACAGAAAAATTAGAAAGGAATATAGATGAATATTTGTTATTTGGCCTAAAAGTAAAGGAAGGAACGATGGGGTGTAAAAAGGGTGAATAAAGTTACTCTCTAACACATTAAAAACAGATATGTCCAAACTTCACATTAAACAAATTAAAAGTCAAATAACCATACTGCAAGAAAAACACTTCTATCTCATTTAAAAGACAAAACAAAAATAATACGTAAAACAGATCTTTTAAATCATTAAGAAAATGAAAAATTTAAAAAGATGGTATTGGAGTGATACTAGTAACTAACAATTATTGATTATAGTTAGTACCCTGTACTCTATATTTATTCCTCAGAATAATCCTTTGCACTGGGTACTGTTGATACCAATAACAAATTTTAGAAGACAGGTAGAAGTCAAGTAATTTGTCAAAGATTATAATAGATAGTAAACATTGAAGCTAGCATTTGAACCTGGGCCATAAAGTAAATGAACAGGTAATTTTCAGAAGAAGAAAATTCCAAAAGCCAGTAAGCAAATTAATGATAATTGAAATAAAAGTGAATCTGACAATGAATTTCCCTTTTCCCCACTCAAACTAGCAAAAGTAAAACATTGACAAGTGAAGAAAAAGAAAATCCCTCAATACATATTAAGTTTGTGGAAAAATAGCCCTTTCAGTGACTTTTGGTAGGACTATAAATTTATATAGGTCTCCTAGAGATAATCGGTATTAAGTTTCAAAATCTTTAAAAATGTGCATAATTATAAATTGGTAGGACTTGAGCCTTTAATTACTGAAGCTTAACAAAAAGAGTCCACCCCAACCCAACCGTTGCCACCACATGCTCAAGTTAGAGAGTTATGTTGCTAAAGAAAAATTGTATTCATCATTATTCATTTGGAATTCTGGGGGAAAATTTAAATTTTATGTTGAAAACAATTTCTAGAAAGGATTGTTTTCCCCTAGGGTTCTTTTGGTCAATCTCCTTCTCTCTCAAACTTACTGAATTCTTACTGTTTTGTAACTAGCAGTACCAAATCCCAGGACAGACGTGAAGTTTCTGTCATTCAGTTTCAGAGAACAGCATGTATATTGGGCCATTGTTTTTCACTGTCCAGGCTAAATAGGTCTGATTATATTTCAGCAAAGTGATCCTCTTTATCATTTCCACTTCCTCCTTCCTGTGCTCTGAGACAGATTTTATGTTTGAATTACATAATAAAAGGTAGGAGGGGTTAAATCTAGAGCCACATCCACATTCTTTTGACGGTGGACTAGAAAAGAATCCAAAGAGAGGACGCGTAGCACTGGAACCAGTTTTCTGGTTTTCTTTTAAATTAAACTGCATTTTGAGATGATTATAGATACACAGGAAGTTGCAAAAAATAATTCAGAGTCTGCCCTTTATTCAGATTCCCTGAATATTACCATCTTGCAAACCTATATAGTAAGTTATCACAAATGTAGCTGCCCAAGGGGTTCACCTTGCTTGCTGCCTAGGCAGAGCCAATTCATCAAGACAGGGAAATTGCAATAGAGAATGAGTAATTCACGCAGAGCCAGCTGTGCAGGAGACCGGTGTTTTATT
Source organism: Homo sapiens (assembly GCF_000001405.40). Classification (NCBI taxonomy): domain Eukaryota; kingdom Metazoa; phylum Chordata; class Mammalia; order Primates; family Hominidae; genus Homo; species Homo sapiens. Next base: position 4,866,589 of record NC_000010.11, read on the forward strand.
ATTACTCAAATCAGTCTCTCGGAGCATTCAGGGAGCAGAGTTTTGTTTTTGTTTTTGTTTTTTTTTTTTTTTGAGATGGAGTCTCGCTGTCGCCCAGGCTGGAGTGCAGTGGCGCCATCTCGGCTCACTGCAGGCTCCGGGAGCAGAGATTTTAAGGATAACTTGGCGGGTGGGGGGAAGCCAGTGAGCCAGGAGTGCTGAGTAGTTAGAGATGAAATCACAGGGAGTCAAAGCTGCCTTCTTGTGCTCGGTCATTTCCTGGGTGGGGGCCACAATATCAGATGAGTCAGTTTACTGATCTGAGTGGGGCCGGCTGATCCATCAAGTGCAGGATCTGCAAAATACCCAGGCACTTAGGAGCAGTTTACGGAGGGTCAGAATCTTGTAGCCTCCAGCTGCATGACTCCTCAACCATAATTTCTAATCTTGTGGCTAATGTTAATCCTACAAAGGCAAATCTAGTCCCCAGGCAAGAAGGAGGTCTGCTGTGGGAAAGGGCTGTTACCATCTTTGTTTAAACTATAAACTAAGTTACTCCCAAAGTTAGTTCAACCTACCATCAGGAATGAACAAGGACAACTTGGAGGTTAGAAGCAAGATGGAGTCAGTTAAGTTAGATCTCTTTCACTGTCTCAGTCATAATTTTGCAAAGGTGGATTCACAACCAAGATACTGATATTGATATTGTCTTAGACTTCTCCAGTTTTGGTTGCATTCCTTGGTGTCTGTGTGTGTGTTCACTGTTGTACAATTTTTCACACATTCACGTTTCCATCTCCACAGTCAAGGTACAAAACATTTCCGTCACCATGAGGGCCCTCCCTGTCACCATTTTCTAATTGCATTCAGCTGTCTTCTGCCTCTGCTGCCTCCTTAACCCCTGGCAACTAGTATGTTCTTCATTCCTATAATTTTGTTATTTTACAAATTCAGTATAAGTGGAATTACACACTATGTAACTTTTTTGGACTGGCATTCCTCTGTCACCACAATTACCTTGCCATTCAGCCAAGGTGTTGGATGTGCCAATAGTCAGTTTATTTTCATTGCTGAGTAGGATTGCATGGCAAAGATAACGCCATTCATCCGTTGAAGAACTTGACTAGTTTCTTTTTAACCCACAGTTCTAACATTGCTTTCAGCTCTGTGTAGCAGTGATAAGAACAGCGTTGGCCTTCCAGTGTTTTTCCTTCCTTTTCCAAGCCATGTGTTACTTGATGTGACTCATTGTCTGGGCTTTGTCAAAGCGAGAGGCAGCGTCCTCAGGGTCCGTCTTTCTTATCTTTGTAACGAAAACCTTGGAGCATTTCAAGTTTGCAGCTTTCCTATTTTGGTGACTCTTGAAACCTCACTGTGATATATATACTGCCCCCAGAGCAGGCACACTCTAATAATGGCTCCAGTTTTAAGATGGTGCAGCTTAGTAGGAGACTGGATCGTTGGGGGTTTGGGAAATAATGTGGGCTCTTTCTATGGAGTAATGCAGCTGTATAAACTCCAGGCAGCTTCCTAAACTGGGGTCAGGCCTGTAAATACTGTAAGATTCTCCACTATCAAAGACTACAGCAGTCTGTGGTGGCAATGCCAGCTTCTGGGTTCCTGTTGCTTACTTTTTTCCCACAGAGAGAAGTTCTTCCTGGTTCTGAGCTGATCCTGACTGGATGACAGAGTGGCAGAGGCAGCGTGTTTTATTCCTTTCTCTATATGGCCATCCTGAGTCTCTTTGCTCCACAGAGTTTCTCTCATCCATTATCTAAAGACTCTACAGCTCTCCTTTAGTTGCTCTGGTCAAAATGTAGTTGTTTCTTCATCGCTTTGGTCTGTTTTTGTGGGTGGGGAGAAGTGTAGGAACCTCTAGTCAGTTATCTTGCTGACATAAGCCCGTGGAATTTTCTATGTAGTCAATCACGTCACCTGCAAATGGAAACAGTTTTCTTTCTTGTGATATGTATGCCTTTTATCTACTTTTCTTGTCTTACTGTATTGGCTAAAACTTTTAGCACTGTGTTTAAAAAGAGTGCTGAGAGTGGACATCCTTGCTTTTTTCCCAGTCTTAGGGACAAAGAATTCAGCTTAGCTGTAGGTTATTGCAGATGTTCTTTATCAAGTTTAGAAAGTTATCCTGTAGTCCTATTTTCTGAAAGTTTTAATTATGGATGGATGTTAAATTTTGTCAAATGCTTTCACTGCATCAATTGATATGATCATGTGACTTTCTTCTTTAGTTTTTTAGTATGATGGATTATATTAACTGATTTTTGAACATTGAACCAGCCCTGTATCCTTGATATAAGCTATACTTGGTTTTTGTGTATAATTCTTTTTATATTTTTTTAAATTCTATTTGCTAATATTTTGTTGAGGATGTTCACATCTATATTTTTGAGAGATATTGTTCTTAGTTTTATTTCTTTCTTCCTTTCCGTTTTTGTCTCATTTTCATATTGGGGTAATGCTAGCTCTGTAAAATGAACTGGGAAGTGTTCCCTCCTCTTTTGTTTTCTGAAGCGATTGTATAGAATTGGTGTTAATTCTTCTATAAACATTTATAAGCAATCCCCAGTGAAATTGGACATGGAGACTTCTATTTGGGAGTTTTAAAATTATAAACTCAATTTAGTAATAGGGCTATTCAAATGATCTATTTTATGTTGGGTGAGTTGTGGTAGCTTGGGTATTTTTCAGGGGAATTGGTCCATTATATAACTTGTGAAGTGTATGTGTGGAGTTGTTTGTAGTACCCCATTACCATCCTGTTTATTTCTACAGGATCTATAGCATAATTCCCTGTTGCATTCCTTATGTTGGTAGTCTATATCTTCTCTCTTTTTTTATGTCAGTCTTGCTAGAAGCTTGCTTGAACTTTATCTTTTCAAACAACCAATTCTTTGCTTCATTTTTTTTCTCTGTTTTTTTCTTTTCAATTTCATTGATTTCAGCTCCTCTATTTATTATTTCCATAGTTCTGCTTGCTTTGGGTTATTTTGCTCTACCTTTTCTAGGTTCTTGAGATAAGAGCTTAGATAGTTGATTTAAGACTTTTCCCCTTTTTTCTATAAACCCTCCTCTTGGCACTACTTTAGCTGTGTTCTACACAATTTGATATGTTGCGTTTTTATTTTCATTCAGTTCAATGTACTTTTTTATTTCGCTCAAGACTTCCTGTTTTACCTGTGGATTATTTAGGAGTGTGTTGTTTAATTTCCAAGAGTTTGGTGACTTTCATGTTACTGTTCTGTTTTTGGTTTCTAATTTGATTCATTTTTCGTTGGATAACATACTCCGTATAATTTCAATTAATTTCTATTTGTTCAGGTTTTTATAATTTTGGTTATTTTCTATATGTTGTGGTTTGTTTTATGGCCAGAATATGGTCTGCTTGATTATGTGATTTGGGAATTTGAAAAGAATCTGTTTTGTGCTATTGTTAGGTAGAATGTTCTATAAATCCCAGTTAGATCCTGTTGGATGCAATTTGATTAATACATAGCATTTTTTGGTGTTTCTCTTTGTATAGCATTGGTTGCTATTGGTATTACATTACATACACACAATTATCACAGTGTATTGGTGTCATTATCTTATCACTTTGAAAGAAGTACAAAATCCTTACCTCCCTTCATGTTCCTTTACCCTCCCCCATTTATAATAGAATTTCATTACATATTTCTACCACATCCATTTAAAACCATATAAGACATTTAGTTTTTGTTTCAATTGCCAAACATCATTTAGAAAACTCAAGAGGGCAAGAACAATCTACTGCGTTTACCCATATTTTTGCTTGCATATTTGTTATTTTTTTCTTCCTGATGTTACAAGGTTCTATTTTTTTTCCATTTTCTTTCTGTTTAGAGAACTTACTTTAGCCGTTATTTTAGGTTAGGTCTTCTGGAAAAAAAATCTTTTATTTTACCTTCTGCAAATGCCTTGATGTCTCTTTTATTTTGAAAGATATTTTTGCTGGATACAAGATTCTGGATTGAAAATTATTTTCTTTCAGCATTTGAAAATTATTGTTACTTGCCTCCATGGTTGTTTGATGATAAACTCACAATTATTTGAATTCTTTTTTTTTTCTATAGGTTAGGTGACATTTTTCTCTTGCTTTTTCACAAGCTTTTCTTTTAGTTTTCATGCATTTAATTATGATGTGTCTTGGTGTGCATTTCTTTTGGTTTATATTGTTTGAAGATCACTTATCTTCTTACTCTGTAGGTTTATGTGTATTTCTAAATTTGAAAAGCTTTCAGCAATTAAAGTAGCCATTATTTCTCTAAGCACTTTTCCAGCCCACCCTTTGCTTCCTTTCTTTTCAGGATTTGATGGCATGAACGTTAAGTCTTTTGTTATAGTTCTACAAGTCCTTGAAGCTCTGTTCCTTTTCTTCTGTCTCTTTTCTCCCTGTTGCTCCTCTTGGATGATTTATATTGCTTTATCTTCCAGATCAATAATTATCTCCTCTATTTCTTATGTTATGCTATTGATTCCATTGATTAAAATTTTAATTTTGTGTATTGTGTTTTTCAGTTCTAAAATTTCCAAATCTGGTTATTCATTTATCTTCTATTTCTTTTCTAAAACTTTCTAATTTTTTATTGAAACTTTTTGTTTTTTCATTTGTTGCAAGTGTGTTTATAATTGTTTGTTGAAACATTTTTACAATGGTTGCTTTAAAATCTTGGTCAGATAATTATAATATCTTGATCATCTGGGTGTACCATCTGTTGCTTATCTTTATTTATTCAACTTGAGACCATCCTTGTTCTTGGTATGATAAGTAACTTTTAAAATTAAAACCTGGACATTTTGGGTGTTATATATTAAGTTTTACATTCATTTATAATATCTAATATATTTGTATAGTGTGGATAATTCACAGAAAAGAAAAAATGCTCAAGAACTACAAACAAGTAAAAAATGTAGATTTTGCAAATTTGAAGGTATACCAAATTATTAGCATTTTTTTGAGAGATTCACATCCATTGTGATCACCCCTTCCAGGGATGTCAGCATTTTAGCCTCAGTGAGATGGGAAAGAAACAAAAAAGCAAATGCCAAGGCTGCAGCAGATTAGGTTATTTCAAATACATCTTTATTTTGGCAGTTGTGGGGGTGGGGTGGGGGCGGGAATCAAGAGAAAACTAGGTTTAGATACTTTTATTTTCTGATCCGGGGTCTTAGGCCAACTTGTGACTGAGCAGGCTAATCAATCTGGAATAAACTAGAAAACTTCCCATCCATGAGATATTCTCTATTCATCTCAACCCAAATCAATAAACTCTGGAACAACCACAGACTCTTTTCTTTATATTCATCAAGAAATGGATAATCTGGGTGATGAGAAAAGCTGAAAAGGAAAGGGAAAGTCTTAGTCATTGTTTCTGGGCTCATAAAGACAGATTTCTGTTAAACTGGTGTGAGCCTACAATTAACACAGTTTTCTTTGTGAGTTAAGTACAAACCCAACTAGTTTTATGATAATAACATACTATTGCATGATGCTGTTTTGAATACACTGTGGAAAATAAATATACCTACACACGTGGGCACACATTCACAAATATACCAGTGCATTCCATTTTTGCAATATGTCATTCTACAGCTTGAGGAGATAAACTATTTGTGTTTATATTTTGAACCTCCAGGAGGGCAGAAACAAATTCTCTCTTTTTTAAAACAATGCTTAGTCTGATTTAATATATAAAGTTAATAAATATTTTAAGGTGATAATGAGGAAGGTGATAAAATTATTACTGTTCAATGTATGTCAAACATTCAGAAATGATTTGTCTATGACTTTTCTTGGGAGAAAATTTTATATTATACCTAGAGAGAGATACAGTGGTTAGAAGATGAAGTCACTTCAATGGGGTAGTTCCATTTTAGCAAGGGGGATACAAATTCTTTCTGTATATGAAGTAATAATTTTTGACATAGAAAATGCCAAGTCATTGAATAGTTATTGTTGATTAATATTACTGATATTTATTGTTAGGGGTTCCTGCCTGCATCTCCACTCTCTGTTACCCCTACCCTGTTTCTCATTTTATTATGTTATTTATTCAACCAATATGTATTGAGTACCCAGGGAGAGACTAGTTTAAGAACAAAAACAAAACAAAAACCCTGCCCTTAGAATCTAACACTCTAATGTGGTAAAGATAAAATAAGCTAAATAAACTAGTAAAATATATGGTGTGTAAGTTAGGGATATGTGTCAAGCACAAAAATAAATCAGAATAGAGAGAAAGGCTCTTCTAGGACGAGTTGCATTTTTAGATAAGTGACAGAGAAGGCATCATCGAGTGATATATGAGTGAAGACCTGAAGGATGTAAAGGAGTGAGCAATCCTGCTCTATGGGGAAAGAGATTTCTAGGCAGGGGGAATGGCCAGTGGAAAGGCCCTAAGACAGGCCTGACATATGTCAGTGATGTGGTTTGGCTGTGTCCCCACCCAAATCTCATCTTGAATTGTAACTCCCACAATTCCCATGTGTCGTCGGAGGAACCCAGTGGGAGGTGGTTGAATTATGAGGGTGGGTTTTTCCTGCGCTGTTCTTGTGATAGTGAATGAGTCTCACGAGATCTGATGGTTTTAACAACAGGAGTTTCTCTACACAGGCTCTCTTTTTGCCTGCTGCCATCCATGTAAGACGCGACTTGTTTCTCCTTGCCTTCTGTCATGATTGTGAGGCTTCCCCAGACACTTGGAACTGTAAGTCCATTAAACCTCTCTTCTTTTGTAAATTACCCAGTCTTGAGTATGTCTTTATCAGCAGTGTGAAAATGGACTAATACAGTCAGGAACAGCATGGAGGTCACTGGTGCTCCATTGGAGTCAAGAGTGGGGAGAATAGCAGGACAGGGACACAGAGAGTTAAGGGAGGGAGTGTCTATTGGCCCTTGTAGGTCTGTGTAAGGAATTTGGTCTCAACTCTGAGTGAGATGGCAGTCTCCCACATATTGAGGAGTTCCTGTGTACACCCTTTTTAACCTGTTCACTGTGGCTACTATGCCTGGTGCTGAAGTACAGAAGAGGGAGCACTACCAGGAGCCAGTTACTTTATCATAAAGATATCGGTATGAGTGTGGGGTGTGTGTGTGTGTGTGTGTGTGTGTGTGTGTGTGTCTGTGTGTCTGTGTGTATTGGGGAAGGGATTGCAGATACCAGTATGAGCCCAGTTACAGACATGATAAGTTGGAGATGCATAGTAGATATCCAAGTAGAGGCAAGTAGACACATATACAAACCTTGCTCCAGAGCCTTGAACTGGGCTGGATATGATTTGGGGAATCTATATTTAGATGATATTTGAAGCATGAGACTAGATGAAATCAACAATGATGTTAAAGTAGATAGAGAAAGGAGAAGAGGTCTAGGTTGAGCTCTAAGTCACTCCAAAACTGAGAGGTCAAGCTAATGCAGAGAAACCAGCAAAGAACATTAGAAGAAATGGCAAGGGTTGAGGGTATTTACAAGGATGTTGGTATATTGATTGACCCCATAATTTAAGTAGGCAAAGAAGGACAGAGGGCACATTAGAGGGTCAAGTAACAGTGAAAAGGTGGTACGGTCAGTGAATTATAGCTCATGTGGTAATCAAAGGATTGTTGAAGTTGGCCATGTAGAGAAGGAGCGGGACATGTAGGAGGTGATGACTATAGTGTAAGAATTTAAAATTGACATCCAGGCATGGTTATAGTAACTCGTAATGACAAGGTCTAGAATGAGACCATTAGGTTGATAGGCTGAGTTAGACTGAAGGATAAACACATTGGAAGAGGAAAGTCACAAAACTGAAAGATCAGACTATTACAAGGACTGTCTCTGTAGTGTTGAAATCAAAAGAAATTATGGCAGGTCTACTGTTGGAGAGGATGAAAACTAGGAACTAAAATCTTCGGTGGATGAGAGAAGACCTGGGAATGCAGCCCTGATGACTGCAAAGGACAGGGGTAGTGCTGGGTTTGTCTGATGACACAAAGTCCAGAGCTGAATGCTTTTAGAAAGAGAGTTCCTACTCAATATTCAGGCTTAGCACTACTAAGGTCTTGGGAAGGATAACAGCCCCAACTGGAGAGGGCTGACAGGAATCAGTGCTACCAAGAGAAATGGGGTTTCAGCTATTGGGAAAAGGTGAAAAGAACATTTAGAGAAGACAACAAAGATAAAACGGTTTTGCCAGTGGTTGAGTAGGAGTTTCAGAAAGCACAGTGAAAACATGTTGAGGTGGTGTACACAGAGCTATTTGGGAACCAGGAATTTTAGGCTCCTGTAGTGACTGAACTAACAGTGACAAAGACCATGTTAGCCTCAAGGGAGTTAAGGGGCTGGTTGGCAGGGGAGGATGGGAGTCTGTCCAGGAGCTACTGGATTGCTTGCTCTTCCCGTGTTTGGAGATGTTTACATACATATATGTACTAAATGTCACTGAACAGAAAAAAAAATAGCTTACAGATTTTTCTCTACAGCCTTCTGAGAATCATAGAGTCTAAAAGTTTGAAGGGCCATTAAAAGTCTATCTTTGGAAATAACTTTTTTCCTGCCATTGGATTTTCATTATCACCTCCATTTGCTTGATACTCAGCCTGTTCCCTTTTTCCTTCTTGATTTTCCGAACCTGCTTACTCTTTACTATTGAAAACCCCCCCAGACCTGAGCAAAGTTCTGAACATTGTTCAGAAACCACAGCTGAAGATCCACCCCTGTGGCCAGCCTTGCAAGAGAGCTGATTCAGGTTCAAAACCTGAATCAGAGGGGGTGGGCTTTGTGATGGAAATTAGAGAAACATGAGAAATGTTGAAATTTAGAATCAACATGAGAAATGTTGAAATATAGAATCAACAGGACTAGGTGGTTATTTAGATGTAGGGGATGAGGTTTGTGCCATAATGGTGATGTGTGTAGTATTACCATGAAGAGTATATATAGAGAAAACATTGAAGGCTTTAATTTTAAGTGTATTAAGTTTGAACTGTGGGAATAAATAGAACTATCTCTAGGGAATTTTAATTTAAAAGAAAATCAGTGGGCTACAAGAGACCAAGAAAAATGTCTAGGTTAGAGATAGAAACCATGGAATTATTAGCATGTAGATTGGAGGGAAGCCTAGTGATGAGGGACACACAGAGGCAGTGTGGAGCCAGGAGAGCCCAGTCTTAAACGGGGAGCTTCCGTCTCTATTGAGTTCTGCTCACACTCTTGTCTGGGCAGAGCTATGAGCCTTGGAGAAAAAAAAATGTCTGATATGAAGTCTGAAGAAAAAATGTTTTCCAACAACTTTCCTAAGCAACAAACCCTGCCTTCTGTGGGCTGAAATCAATGGAATTCCCCCACTGTCCTGCTCCCTAGTGTCAACAACGAAACAAGCTACTTACATAGACATTTACAAATGGCATATATTCTTGTTCAAGCCATCTGTGGTTTTCATGTCCTCTGGTGTCAGCTAGAAGTCAAAAACCTGTCAGAAACGTGAGAAGATCAATTTAATATCCTTGAGGCAATTGCTGTTCCTCTTCTCCCCTCTCCACAAACAGACAAATCCATGTAGGACTTTGTGTAGGTTTTATGAGTGAGTTTTCATGGACCAAGGATTCATTCAGTGGCATGTCATGGGAATTTGTCCATTTATAAAGTTGAGATTGGCATGGTTAATCTTCCCTCAGATACTTTTATTGGGGAGCCATCATGATAGCAAAGAAATCCTAGAGAATTTTAAGCCCAAACCTCACGTGATCTAATTCCTTTATTTTACAGCTATAGAAATCAAGGGATGACTTACCCAGCGCCATACTATAGGGGAAAAACCCGGATTAGGACCCTCTCCTGACCTTCTCTTTAGTGTCCTTTCCAACCATCACACTCTCCCTTGCAGCAAGGGGAGACAAAGCAATTAAATATGGTGCTTATATGCTTATATGCATAGAATGTAAAAGGAGATAAGCTTTGCCCAAATATACCTTGAGAGCTTTGCAAAAACTCAGATACCGTGGGGAAATGATGTGCCTCTGTCAATCCCCTGCTGCCACCACCATGCCCTGTACCTGGAAGTTTTCTTTGATTCTCTTCTCATTGAAGCTCTTCACCAGGACCACCACCCCGCGCTGCAGCTGGTAGCACAAGGCAACCTGGGCTGGAGTTCGCCTGGGCTTTTCAGCAATGGCATTGAGTATTGGATCCTCCTGGAGAACTGGGTTTCCTTTTTTCACCCTGAGAGGAGAGGCAGAGGTGCTGCAAGTCTGAGGCTGAATATCCATTTTACTTGCGGGCTGCTTATTTTGGCCAGGGATGCTAATCCTCCAGAACCTTCCTCATTACCTTCTGGCTGTCTCAATATCTGTTTTGCATCTTTTGTTATAACCAAAGAAGGACAAAGGAATGGAAGGTGGCAGTTCTATTTAGTTCTTATAATGTAGGTCTGGGTTAGGTAAAAGGTTTACAGATGAATTTATTCCTGCTGTCTATTTTTAATTTTGCCAGCTGATTGAGAGATTACTTCGGAAGGTACAGTATCTATGATTAAAATAACTTTATAGGCCAGTCACCGTGGCTTACACCTCTAATCCCAGCACTTTGGGAGGCCAAGGTGGGAGGATCACTTGAGCCCAGGAATTCAAGACTGGCTTGGGTAACGTAGTGAGACCCTGTCTCTACAAAAATGAAAATAAACAATTAGCCAGGCATGGTGGTGCACTCCTGTAGTCCCAGCTACTTAGGAGGTCTAGGAGGGAAGATCCTGACTTGAGCCTGGAAGGTCAAGCCTGCAACAAGCTGTGATTGTGCCCCTGCACTCCAGCCTGGATGACAGAATGAGACCCCCACCTAAAAAAAATAAACAAAATAACTTTATGAAGATGATTACCAGTCTTTGTCTGAGTCAGACCCCAAGGCAGAATATGCAGTCATGACAATGTCCTTGGACTTACAGTACTCCAGGAGTTTGCTTTGGTTGAGGTAAGGGTGATATTCCACCTGCAGAATGCCAAGCAGGAGAATTAGGTTACAGAACCACCAACACCAAGCTTACCAGGGACATGCAGTGCTGCATTGCATGGTATCAGACATCTTTTAGAATACCAGCAACACAGGCCAAGCCATGATTGTCATCCACAGCTGTATGCATGAAGCTCCCAAGGGCTTTACTTGGGATGACAGCCCATGGAGGGCATAGCAGTATTGATTAAATAATTAACTCAGTGCTCTTAGATGGCAGGTTGTGCACAAGGCCAAAAGAGAATTTCAGTCTTCCAGACTGAAAACCATGGTGACATCTTTGGTTCTTGCTCATTTATTGTTGACGTATAGCAAGCAGCAATTTCTGCCTTTCTTAGTTATTTAATCTCAGTATTCTTTATTTTTAAGGAGTATTCCCATTTTGTTCATTGCTGCAACCCCTGATAGCCAATAAATCATCCCTCAACATTTTTTGGCTTTATGAATGTATAATTGTTATATGAAAACATGCACACACTTAATGGATACATCTGGATGGATTTGGGCATGTGCATATACCTGTGATACCATCACTGCAAACGATGCATTAAACATGCCCATCACCTCCAAACATTTTCTTATGTCCTTTTGTGTGTGGTTTTGGTTTTAGTTTTTGGATTTTTTTTTTTTTGCAAGAACACTTGACATGAGATCAACTATCTTAAACATATTTTAAAGTATGCATACTGTTAATAACAGGTATAAGGGGTTAATATCTAAACTATGTAAAAATCTACAATGCAATAGCAAAAAAACAAACAAATAACCCAGTTGAAAAATGGGGGAAAAAAAACTTGCATAAGCATTTCTCCAAAGAAGTCATCACTCCAATTTGAAACAGTTTTTCATCAGGTTATTCCTTGGCTGCAGGAATGAGAATGTTTTCCTCTTTCCTAGCACAGGACATTGTGACATCTTTGTTTGCTCCTTACCTCCCCCAACAAATGGCCCCACTCAGACTTATGGTGCCCATACACTTCCCGAAGCTCCAATCTTGTCCCATGGGGAAAGGGATTTGGAAAGGCTTCTGGCCCTTTTATCATCAAGGGGAAATAAATTGCTACTTGTTTTCAGTCAGAAAAAAAGTTACTGGTGTTATTACATTTACACATTACTAGTGAGAGAGGTTTCTGTGCTGCAGAAGGTATTTAGTGGCACTATAATCCCACGTTTCCATTTTTCTCACTTCCATGCACATGGAAAGTCAGAAACCAGGATCCATCACTGAATTTTAACCATTTTTTTCTGCTCCCTTGTCTGGGTGACATGTGAGCCAAGACCATTGCCTTCACCATGGGATGGGTAGTCTAGGGACCAGCTCAGCACTAGACAAAAGGGGCAAGTGTACTTTAAAAAATACAATTAGCAGACAATTTTTAGAGCAGTTTTAAGTTAAGAGAAACATTGATAGGAAAGCACAGAGTTCACCATATCACCTCTCCCACCCACCCTTACCCCTACTCTCTCCTCTTATTTAAGTTGTATTAGTGTGAAACATTTGCTACAATTGATGAACCAATATTGATACATTATCACAGGGTTCACTCTCCATTGTACATTCTATGGGTTTTGACAAATGTATGTCATGTGTATTAGTCAGGGTTCTCTAGAGGGACAGAACTCATAGGATAGATGTATATGTAAGGGGAACTTATTAAGGAGCATTGACTCACACGATCACAAGGTGAAGTCCCACAATAGGCCGTCTGCAAGCTGAGAAGCAAGGAAGCCAGTCTGAGTCCCAAAAACTCAAAAGTAGGGAAGCCGATAGTGCAGCCTTCAGTCTGTGGCCGAAGGCCTGAGAACCCCTGACAACCCACTGGTATAGGTCCAAGAGTCCCAAAGCTGAAGAACCTGGAGTCTGATGTTTGACACCAGGAAGCATCCAGCACATGAGAAGGATGGAGGCCAGAAGACTCAGCACATTCTAGTCCTTCCATTTTTCTCTGCCTGCTTTTGTTCTGGGCATGCTGGCAGCTGATTAGATGGTGCCCACTCAGATTGAGGGGGGGTCTGCCTTTCCCAGTCCATTGACTCAAGTGTTAATCTCCCTTGGCAACACCCTCACAGACACACCCAGAAACAATACTTTGCATCCTATAATCCAGTCAGGTTGACACTCAATATTAACCATTGCAATATGTATCCACCACTACTAGATCATACAATATGGTTTCACTGCCCTAAAACCTCTGTATTTTACCTATTCATTCCTCCTTCCCTCTCCCTGAGTCCCTGGAATCCACTGATCTTTTATTTTGAGCAGTTTTAGGTTTACAGAAAAAAATGAGAAAAAAAATGCAGAGTTCTCATATATACCTCCATACCTCTCTCCCCAATCGCCCCAATTATTATCTTACAATAATGTGGTATATTTCTTATAATTGGCCAGCCAATATTGATACATTATTATTAAGTAAAGTCCATAGTTTACATTAGGGAATATTATTTGTGGTAACGTTCTACGGGTCTTGACAAATGGATAATCACCGTTACAGAGTCTATGAAATAATAATTACACACCCCTAAAAATCCCCTGTGCTCCACCTACTCATCCATTTCTCCCCCAACCCCTGACCTGACAACCACTGATCTTTTTACTGTATCCATTGTTTTGCATTTTCCAGAATGTTACAGAGTTTGGATTAGATAGTATGTAGCCTTTCTAGATTGGCTTCTTTTACTTAGTAATGTGTATTTAAGGTTTCTCTATGGCTTGATAGCTCCATTTGTTTTTCATGCTGAATAATATTCCATTGTTTGGATGTAGCACAGCTTATCCATTTACCTGCTGAAGGACAGATTGGTTGCTTCAAAGTTTTGGCAACGATGAATAAATCTGCTATAAGCATCCTTGGGCAGGTTTATGTGTGGGTATATGTTTTCAACTCATTTAGGCAAATGTCAGAAAGCATGACTGCTGACTGCTGGATCATGTGGTGAGAGTATGCATAGTTTTGTAAGAAATTGCCAAACTGTCTTCCAAAGTGGCTGTATCATTTTGTATTTTTGAGAGTGGCAGGATGCAGCCAAATGCCTAGGCAGATAGGGGTGAGTCCTCAGTGAAACCCCACCTCCAACCCCAGCACAGTTTAAAGCTTGAAAGCCAAACTACAAGTTAAATCCTCAAACCAGATTGAGAATTTGTCTTCCTGTTTGTCGCACTTTCCTGTGATTGATCCCATCCTTCACCTATTTTACATATACCTAGCCTTTCCTAATTGGTTTTCTACACTGTCATGTCCACCTTTGAGTGGTATCTTCACTTTAACCTTTTTTGCATACTCACAAACCAATCAGCATGCACTCCCCCTTCTGAGTCCATAAAAGCCCCAGACCCAACCACATGGGAGGACTTTCCTGCCTTTGGGTAGGGGGAACAACACTGCATCCCATCTCTGCTGAAAGCCATTTTCCTCGCTTAATGAAATTCTTCTCCTCCCTCCACACCCTTCAATGTCCAGCATATTCTCATTCTTCTTGGGTGCGGTACAAGAGCTCAAGAACCACCAAACACAGGTACAAGCTATAATATAGGCAAGCTAGGGCACACCAGCATGGCCGAGTGAGGCCCAGGTGGGGCATCACCAGCTGGGGATCTTTGACTTGTAAAGTGACCAAAAAGAAAAATCCTACATCATTTTCACCAGCAATTAAGAAGAGTTTCAGTTTCCCTATATTCTCATCAGTGGTTGGTGTTGTCAGTGCTTTGGAGTTTGCCCATTCTAATAAGTGTGCAGTAATTAATTTATGATTGTCTAGTGATACATGATGTTTAGCAACTTTATTGGATTATTTGCCATCTGTATATCTTTGTTAAACTGTTCAGATCTTTTGCTCATTTCTACATTGGGTTGCTTATGGTTTCTTAACCTTGAGTCTTAAGATTTCTTTGTATAATTTGGAAATCAATTTTTTATCAGATATATGTTTTGCAAATATTTTCTCCCATAAATGGTTTGTCTCCTCATTCTCTTGGCAGTGTCTTTCACAAAGCAGAATTTGTTAACTTTAATGAAATCCAGCTTATCCATTCTTTCTTTCTTGGATCATGCCCTTGGTATTATATCACCATACCCAAGGTTTTCTAGTTTTTCATTTATATATTCTAGGAGTTTTATAGTTTTGTATTTTACCTTTAGGTCTGTGATCCATTTTGAGTTAATTTTCATGAAGGATGGAAAGTCTGTGTCTAATTCCTTTTTAAAATGTTTGAATGTGGATGTCCAGTATTTCCAGCATCATTTGTCAAAAAGGTTATTTTCTCCATTGAATTGCTTTGCTCCTTTGTCAAGATCAGATGACTGTATCTGTGTGGGCCTATTTCTGGGATCTCTCTGTTCTGTCCCATTGATCTATTTGTCTGTTCTTTCACCAATACCACACTGTCTTTATAGTATCTCTTAAAGATGGGTAGTTTTAGTTATCTGACTTTGTTCTTCAGTATTGTTTTGGCTATTCTTGGTTTCTTAATTTTCAGTGTGAACTTTAAGATTAGATCATTGGTATTCCCAAAAATAACTTACTGGTAATTTCATTGGGATTGCATTGAATCTATAGGTCAAATTGTAAAGAACTTACACCTTCATATAGCATCTTCCTACACATTTAAATATAGTGTCTTTTCATTTATTTAAATCTTCTTTGATTTCTTCTTCAGCGTTTTAAAGTTTTCCTCATATAGATCTTGTCCATACTTTGGTTTTTTGTTTTGTTTTGTTTTTTTGAGACAGAGTCTTGCTCTATTGCCCAGGCTGGAGTGCAGTGGCATGATCTCTGCTCACTGCAACCTCTGCTTCCTGGGTTCAAGCGATTCTCCTGCCTCAGCCTCCTGAGTAGCTGGGATTATAAGTACGTGCCACTATGCTCAGCTAATTTTTGTAGTTTTAGTAGAAATGGGGTTTCACCATGTTGGCCAAGCTGGTCTTGAACTCCTGACCTCAAGGGATCTGCCTGCCTCAGTCTCCCTAAGTGCTGGGATTACAGGCATGAGCCATCGCACCCAGCCCACTTTGTTAGATTTATACCAAAATGTTTCTTTGTATGGTGCTAATATAAATGGCATTGTGTTTTTAATTGTAAACGCCACTTTTTCATTGCTGACATATAGAAAAGCAATTGATTTTTGTATATTAACCTCATATACTGCAACCTTTCTATAATCACTTATGAGTTCCAGGAGATTTTATTGATTCTTTCAGCTGGAATTGAGTATTTCTTTTCCCTCAGGTTAGATTCAAGTAAAACCTCAGGCATAGGCTCTAGTAAAATATCTTCTGCTGAGGTCAGGCCCTTTTAGGAAAACATGGCTGCTTTGGGCTCCTCCAGCCGGAAGCATGAGGGAAATTTTCTCTGGTATTCACTGAGAAAACTTGGTAGGCTCTAGAGGTAAAATTCACAAAAGCGTGGAGGCCTCCATAAGAATGGATGTCCCTGGAGCTTTTCTCTCTCAGACTTGTTCACATTGAGCTCCCAGCAATTCATTAATAACAGTGTAGGTTTTCCTACTCAGCACTGGCCCCAGCTGTGGTTTTTGCTTCCTGGCTTCTGCAAGGCACTGATCATGTCTCTATCAGCCTATCCCTCCAAGTTTTGGAGGCAGCATTTTGCCCTGTGACCTCAATTATCTGTTGAGTCTAATTGTTAGTTTTCCATCTGTTGAATTGCTTACATTATTTGAGGACGTGAGTAATGACTTTCCAGCTTGTGATCCACCAGCCCAGAAACCAAAAGTTTAGTAAATGAACTTTTCGCTGCATATTTTTCTTACTCTTTGTTCCCTGACTCCAGTGATTTGATAAGAGGAATCGACAGAGATCCAAAGAAAAGCAAGAGACCTCATTAAGGTTCACTTGAAGCATGTTCTCCCACGCAGCCTGCAGGCAAGGTCCTGCACTGGGTTACAGGGGCTGGGTTAGTCATCAGGCACACACCAATTTTCTATGGAACTGTTGCATGTGTGTTTGCTTAGTCATGGACACTAAATGGGAAGGAAGGGTAGTTCATTAGACTCAGGGCTTAAAACCTACCTGGACCCTGTAACCCCTCACCTGAGCTAATTTCTCACTATGATCAGTTTGCTGCACATAATTAACCAGTTGTACTTCTACTCAAGCTTCCTAGGCCATGTAAAGTCCCTCCCAGCCAATCAGCCTTCACTTGGCCAAATTCCTTTCACCCTTTAGAGTTCAAGGTAATGTCCAAGTTCCCCTTTGGGTCTCCATCAACTATTGAACTCAAAACCTTTTTTTTTATTTCTCTAAATTGATTATGTCCAAAGTGGAGGTAAATCTCCTAAGGGTCACAAAAGAAAACTTTTTAGAACTCCTATTTGTATTTTTTATCCAAAAAGATGAAATAAATGAAGATTTACTAATACTCAATTGTAAATTGATAATCATCCTTACTCAGTCAGCATGTAAGATGTTTACACAGAGATATGACCACCTGGGTGAAGTGTGAGTCTTCCCCAGCACGGACAGATTGGCAGTTCTTCCTACAGTCATGTGACTTCCTTCACAATCCTCCAGGATACTGCAGTTTATATGTTGCCCATTCAAGTGGCTTTATCTTATTGAGTAGACTTTAAAAACATCTTTATATTTTTTATTGTGGTTAAACATCCATAACATAAATTTTACCTTTTTTTTAAATCAAGGGGTTCAGTTTGATATTGATTTTTAGTTTTTTCTTTGAAAATACTCTCAGACTTACAGAATTGTTACAAGTAGTTCGAATAACTTTTGTTTAAATGACAGAATTATTACAGAGTAAGTTGCTAACAGGTTGTCCCATCATCTCTCAATATTTTAATGTATATTTCCTACAAACAAGGAGAGTCTCCTAATAGCATAATCACAGCCACCACAATCAGGAGGTCAACACAACTGATTTTGATGATCTCATGCTTAAACTTTATCATTTCAATGATTTTTAAGTGCCTAGTTTAGTGACATTCAGTGCATTCACATTGTTAGGCAACCTCACGTAATCCAAATTTCTCCCAAACTTATGAAAAGTGACTGTTTTTAAAAGACTAGTCTGAATCCAAACAGTCCCTTTTATAAGTTTGGGAGAGATTTTGTATTTTGGAGAGGCTCAATGGTTATTTCATGGCACAGCCCTTAAAGGAGTTGTCAGACATAAAAATGAATCATTCATTTTCTTTTACATACAAATTGATTTGAAATTGTTTTCCAAATTTGCTGAACTTTTCTGTTATAAGAAGTGGTTGTCTGCCGGGCGCAGTGGCTCATGTCTGTAATCTCAGCACTTTGGTAGGCCGAAGCGGGTGGATCACCTGAGGTCAGGTGATCGAGACCAGCCTGGCCAACATGTTGAAACCCTGTCTCTACTAAAAATACAAAAAATTAGCTGGGCGTGGTGGCGGGTACCTGTATTCCCAGCCATGTGGGAGGCAGAGGTACATGCTTGAACCTGGGAGGCGGAGGTTGCAGTGAGCCGAGATCGTGCCACTGTACTCCAGCCTTGGCAACAGGAGTAAAACTCTGTCAAAAAAGAAAAAGTGGCTGTCAGTCATTCACTAGCTCTAACTTCTAGAACAAACTACTATAACACCTAATAGATTATACTCTTAGTATTTAAAAAAAAACCTTAGATTTTTTTGATAAAGTGACATGGCCTCATGCACTGTTTTCAACAACTCAGAATGTGTTCTCTTCCCTTGAAGCATCTGATGTTCAAAGGTAAAATACATGTGAGAAGCATGTCATAAGTAGCCTTGTCAAATCGAGAATAGAGGAAGCCAAAGAGCAGAGGAAGCAGTTGGTGCGGCAGATGTTTGGGGCTCATCTGGTTGCAGACAGGCTTGTGCTTGAGCCCTGGCTTGTTGAGGATCATTTCCAGTTGCCTGCGGTTGAAGTTGGACACCCTGATGGACTTGGCCAATCCTGCATCCTTACACTTCTCCAGGGCCTGGAGAGGAAGGTGTTGTGAGGAGTAATCTGTATAGCAGGCTAGAGGCAAATAATAAACGTACACACGCTAGGAGTAGGCGAAGGGTGGGAGAGTGTATAAGACAGTGGGAGAGACACAGCCTTGCAAAGTGCAGATGTCAATCAATAAGGCATGAATGGACTGAGTAAGAGAAAAACGAAAAGTAAACAGGTAAAATAAATGGGCACAAAAATGAAATAAAAAAAGAATGTGAGGCCGGGCACGGTGGCTCATGCCTATAATCCCAGCACTTTGAGAGGCAGAGGCAGGTGGATCACGAGGTCAGGAGTTCGAGACCAGCCTTGCCAACGCAGTGACACCCCCTCCTTACTAAAAATACAAAAATTAGCTGGGTGTGGTGGCGGGCACCTGTAATCCCAGCTACTCAGGAGGCTGAGGCAGGAGAATCTCTTGAACCCGGAAGGTGGAGGTTGCAGTGACCCAAGATTGTCGCACTGCACTCCAGCCTGGGCGACAGAGCTAGACTCTGTCTCAAAAAAAAAAAAAAAAAGAAAAAAAGAATGTGAGTGGCCAGGACAGAGTTAAAGAAACCAGCATGGTCTTTAGTGAATACCTAGAAAAGTTTGATGGAGCAATGGCAAAACAAGTACCAACAAGGAAGTGTAGCAGGTGTGGCCTGAGAGGCAGGCCTTCCACCTACAAAACCACCAGCTTCTACTTTCTGACCTAATTCCCTGCACTGTCCACTCACTCACAGTGTCCAGTCTCACATGTCCTCTTGCTGTTCTTGGACATGCTAGTGTCTCTCCCCTCTTAAAAACGTTGCTGTGACCTGGCATGGTGGCTTACACCTGTAATCCTAGCACTTTGGGAGGCTGAGGCGGGTGGATCACCTGAGGTCAGGGGTTCTAGACCAGCCTGGCCAACATGGTGAAACCCTATCTCTACCAAAAATACAAAAATTAGCTGGGCGTGGTGACACGTGCCTATAACCCCAGCTACTCAGGAGCCTGAGGGCAGGAGAATTGCATGAACCCAGGAGGCAGACCTTGTAGTGAGCCAAGATCACACCATTGTACTCCAGCCCGGGTGACAGAGTGAGACTCCATCTAAAACAATAAAAACAAAAGAAAAACTTTGCCTTGTCTTTCTGCGTGCATCACTCTCCCCAGATACCCACACAATCAGTTCCTGCGTCTACTACAAGTCTTTGCTCAAATGTCACTCTTTTTTTTTTTGAGATGAAGTCTCACTCTGTCACCAGGCTGGAGTGCAGCGGCACGATCTCTGCTCACTGCAACCTTCGCCTCCTGGGTTCAAGCAATTCTCGTGCCTCAGCTTCCCGATTACAGGCGTGCGCCACCACACCCAGCTAATTTTTGTATTTTTAGTAGAGATGGGGTTTCACCATGTTGGCCAGGATGGTCTCGATCTCCTGATATCGTGATTCACCCGCCTCTGCTTTCAAAAAGGCCTACCCTGCCACTCTGTTTTTCATTGCCAGTCTGTGCCCCAAACCAACTCCAGCGCTCAGCTTTATTTCTCACCTCCACCCACCACAGCACCTATCCATGCCTGGGCCAGCACCCTGGTTCTCTTCACTGATGTTGCCTGGGTAAGAAGAGTAGAACTTGATACGCTGTAGGCACTCAATGCATACTTGCTGGATGATTAAGTGAATGAAATGTGAAAACAGAGGCAGAGAGACATTCGGGACTCTCCCCAGTCTGAACACTGGGCAGAATTAGACCAGGTCCAGTTTCCTGAATTCCTTGTACATTTTTCCTCTCCCCCACAAGGTGCAGAGATGTTGTGCTCACTGGAGCTGCACTCACCTCCCATGTGCTGCAGAGACCCACTGTGTCAAACATGATCTTTCCCTGTGCATCCGTCAGCAAAAGCTCCTCCCAGGCTGGAACATGGAAAGAAAGAGAGTTTGCACAAAGCTCTGTCTGGCCTCAGCCAAGCTTGGGGCCCATAAACCTTGAGACTGATAGAACCATCTGTCCTTATTCTTGAACAGAATTGTAAAATTAGGCTAACGGCAAAGGAAGTACATGCAGGAAATATGCGTCCTAGAAATGCTTTCGAGCGTTACAGATTCAATAAATCTTGTCTGTGTCAAGGCTAAGCTGAGGCACCTAGGATCCCATCCTAGGCAGACTCTAGGGTGGTATGATGCCCAGCAGGTCCCCTGGTCCTGGATCCTTGCAAAGAGCTCTCTCCCTTGCCAGTGACTTATCAGCATTCAAAGCTGAGTGTCGTCCTCACCGAACTTCCTGTTCGTCAACTGAACTCCACTGTCAGCGACATGGGTTTGAGACTCCAGGGTATAAGAACTTGAAAATGTCGGCAGTACATCCACAACACTGAGGCAAAGCTGTGGATACCAGTGAACTCCTGTCACTCTGGGGCTAGAGTTGTGAACTGACTTTGGAATAGTTTCAGAAAAATAAAAATAAAAAGCACAAGAGAGAATCTTAAAGTATTATTTATCTTCTCATCCTCACAAACTGATTCCTCTCTTGCGTTCAGTTACTAATATTTATGTTGATCACTAAAGTAAAACAACTTGAGCTAACCTGCAAAGGTACTGGGAAATGAAAAAGGTAAAGATCCATGTAGCTCAGCTGAAGTTTCTTCAGTGACATTTCAAGGCCTCTTTGGACCAATTCTGGGCGGGAAAAGGTGCCCCACACCTGCAATGGTTGAAAGAGAAGTTGTGTGAGATTATTTCTTCAAAAGTCTTCGAGAGAGCTTAGTGAAATGGCAAATAAACATCAGCAGCCAAACCCTCTTAGAGAAGTGACAAGTTACTTCCAGTGAATGCATAAGTTCTTAATCATCATAGCAGATTTTCATATGGAATGAAGATGATAAATGTAGGAAAAAAATACGAGTTTCAGCAGAGATTCTCAAACTTTAGAATGTAAAAGAATAATCTGATTTGCTTGTGCAAAACGTATTCCTGGGTTCTACTCCAAACGTAATAAATCACAACATCTGGAGAGTGGACTGGGAAATTGCCTGCCAGACAAGAGCCCGAAGTGATGGTGATTCAGTAGGCTCTGGCTTGACTGTATTAAATGGTTAGGTTTCCCAAAGAATGGCCATAGGGGAAATCTTTTTGGGGTGCTTCTGTTACCTCATTCTAAGCAGCAGTAATCTAGGGGAAGAAATCATCAAAATGACTAAAACTAAGGAAACCAATGTTTCGTACGATGTTTTGTACAAAGGGTCACACATTTAGTACGAAAAGAGAGTTAAAAGATGAGACTGAGAAGGCTACTGCACAGCTAAAGGCAGTCAAATGTCACATGCTGGGCTGGAAGGAGGAAACTTTTTTATCAACTTGCATGGGATTCACTTGCATGGGCCTAAGTGCTGTCTCTGTGGACTACTTCCCGTCACGTTTAAATGTTTTCTGTTTTGTTTTGTTTTTTGTTTTTTCTAGCAGTAGTCAGTTCAGTGAACACTAGGGTAAAAATTGCTTTGGGGTTCCTTTTCCTATCTGACTTAAACACCTAAGTTCTTTTACTTGTTTTAGATATGACGCTAGTGAATATGAAGAATATTATTAATAGAAGAAAATGGCTCAAGGGTTTAAAAAATACATAAGTACATTTACAAACATTAACTTAATCTTCAGAGAAATAAACATTTATTGACCACAAAATAGGTTGAGATGTCACGATGAAGGCTTAGAGAGTTTAAAAAACTTGTTTTTTGGTTAAGAAATTTCACCAAGTCAAATGGAATATTCAAGAACTAAAATTTGATCCTAGTTCATCTGTTTCCAAAGCCTACACTTTCTGACTAAATCACATTACCTCATACTTTAGCTAAGAAAGATTAAGTCAGTTTGTCAAAACTTGACTATAGTAGAGTAGGAAGGGTCAAATCATTTCTGAGTTAAAACATATGATAATAATAACAGCATTTTTGAGCATCTGAAATGTATCAAATACTTTTCAGCAAGATTTATATGTATTTTTAAAAGTGTAACACTCATGAAAATCCTGTGAGATAAATAATACTGTCTCCATTTTACAACTTGGGAAACTGAAGGATAGTATTTTAGTAGCTTGTCCAAGGTCGCACATATTCATTTATTTTTACACTTGCTATAGACTAGGGAAGGTCACACATTTAGAAAGTGGCAGAGCCTGGATTCAAATATTAAAGTCCCATTACAGAATCCACATTCCTAACCAGACTTCTCATGAGGCAAGGTCTGAGTAAATGAAGATTAAACTAATGAAGAGAAATTTGCCAAGGAGCTCTACAGCTAAGAGTGAGCTCTCCACAGAAACAGATGCATTGGTACACAGCACCTTTGTGGTATAGAATATATCTTTTCTCTTCACAGTGCCGTTGGCAATCTTCTTTCGGATGGCCTGCCCGATGCCTTCTTCATTCAGGTGTGTATAAGCTGAGTCAATATGGCGGTAGCCTACATCAATTGCTACCTGGACGGCTTCTTCTACATTACTCATAGCAACCTGGAAGAGCATAAAGAGATAAAGATTTGTTTGACTCAGGAACAGATGATCAATTCTCTTAGCAGAGATATTCAAAAGAACCTTTTTTTTCCCTACTAAGGGCTAAGAGCTACAGGTGGCAAAGCTAAATGTTGAGTAAAAATCAATGGTAAATGTTTAACAGCTAGCTCTGAGGAAGTCCTGGTTTGTAGTATTTGCCAGTTTCAATAGTGTAAATACTCCCACCATGGATAAGTTCAAGCTTGCCAAATTGGGCAAAGATGCTCACAATACACTCTTTTGAGTCCTCATGAGCACGTCACAGTCTTTAAACCTCTATTTATGTATTTATAGAATGTATATGATCTATAGATTTGCACAATCTATAGATTTACATTCCTAACTTAATTTGCTCTATAAGAGATTATGAAATTGGTTTTGATCCAATAATTTAATGCTAATAATTATCTATCTGCATAAAGATATAACTTTAGACACAATAAATTATTAATTTACCTATCTAAACTTGGAAAAACAAAGAACATTTGAGGAAGAACAAAAATAGGAATCATTTTAAAAAATCATTTTAAAAGAAAATTTTTAAAGAAATAGCTTTTAAAATAAAATAAGCTATTTTCTTTTAAAATATTTTAAAATAAATTATTTTATTTTTAAAATAAAAAATTATTTTAAAAGAAAAACTTTTTTCACTTAAAAAAACTCATAATTAATTCTTCTTTTGGTTGCTTTGCTGGTTCTTAGGCATCACTTTCTCCTTCACATCTTTCTTATATTTTTTTATTCTCCTGGCCCACCAGCCTGGACTCTTTAAGTCATCCATAATTTTTCTGTTTATATTAGCACCCCCTACACCTCACTCAGTAATTATAATGCCTTTTGGGTATATTTGTTTCATTTCTATCTACCGTTGAGTCAACTGAGTCCGTAAAGATAAACTATCCCCAGGTTAAAGAGCCAAGGCATGGCAAAAGCAATACTTCATGAGAGTCTTCTTTGCAGTCCTCAATGGTACACACCATGTTTCTTTTGTGTTGGGAAACAATCCTACAACTTTTATAACATTCTTCACCAGGAACCACTGAGATGTGCCCTTGTAGGTCTGGAGTGTTTGATCCAGAAACATGCATGGAGCCAAAGAGAAGAGAATTTTCCAAGTACTACATAACTCTTTGATGGCACCGTCTTACCAACCTGGCTTCTCAGAGACCGTGGCCACCTTAGACCACACAGCTACCTCTAAGCCTGCCTCTCTTTCCCCAAGTTCCTTTGCCACACAACTTTCTCTAGATACTCTTATTGGTGGTGAACAGGGAGGACTTGGGTACTAAAAATTACAGCACAACTTTAAAGTTTGCTGTGAAGTTTCTGGCACATGGTAATCATGTCAATAGTGTTTTATTTCCTCTAATATACTGTGAAAATGGCTACAACTGTACAACAAGAGAGAGTAACAGCCACAGACTTACCCACCCCTGAATTCTGAGCAATTGCTTGCACACTTCCATCTCTCTTGACGGACTGCCACTCCAAGCGTGGTTTTGGACAAGCAGCATCAAAATTGCTTGGGAGCTTATTATAAATGTGAATTTTACAGCCTCATCCAAGATCTACTCAATCAGAACCTTCAGGGATAGAGCCTCCAAATCTGCATTTTTAACAAGATCCTGAAGTGTTTATATCACTACTAAAACGTGAAAAGCCTTTACTTAATCCACAAAGTGGTGAGTAAGGGCTAACTTCTCACCAAGGGCTAACTTGGTGAGAAGTGTCTTAAAATGAGAAAAGTGAGGCCCACCTGAATTTCCCAAACTCACATAGTGACTAATTCTGATCAGGAACCACCTGCTACTCCTCCATCCCCAATGCCATTATGGTTACCTTCCTAGCAACAGAGGTGCCAAACCCCAGAATAGGCATGAACTTTCCATCATTCAGTTTTACAGAAAGGAGTCTGTTAAAACTCATCTTCTTTTACTTTTCCTGCAAAGCAGAGGGTTTTTTTCCCTTTATTAAGGGAAATCTGTAGAGAAAAGAAAATACAATGACTATTTTTATAACAACCTTTTTTTCTTTTGAGATGAAGTCTCACCCTGTCGCGTGACCTCTATATTGATCTTGTATCTTGTATCTATATTGATCTTGTATCCCACAACTTGTCTGAACTTGTTTATCAGCTCTAATAGTATTCTAGTAGATTCCTTAAGATTTTCTTTTTTCTTTTTTATGAGAATAGAAATGGGGCCTCACTATGTTGACAAGGCTGGTCTCAAACACTTGGTCTCAAGCAGTCCTCCTACCTCAGCCTCCCTAAATATTGAGATCACAGGTGTGAGCCAATGCGACTAGCCCATAAGATTTTCTACAGGCATGATTATGTAATCTGCAGGTAGAAATAGTTTTATTTCTTTTTTATAATGGCTTGGCTGGTGTCCCTCTAAAATTCATGTTTACCCAGAACTTCAGAATATGACCTTTTATGGAAATAAAGTTTTTACAGATATAATTAGTTAATATGAGATCATAATGAATTAAGGTGGGTTCTAAAGTCAATGACTAAAGTCTTTAGAATAAGAAGAGAGAATACAAATACACACAGAAAAGAAAGCCATGTAACCATGAAGGCAGAGATTGAAGTGATTCAACTATAAGCCAAGGCATGCCAACTGCTACTGGGAGCCACCAAAAGCTAGTCAAAGGCAAGGGAACCATCTTCCCGAGAGCTTTCATGGGGAGCATGGCCCTATAAACAACTGGATTTTTGACTCAAGTCTCCAGAACTGGAAGAGAATACAATCCTCTTTTGTTGTTCTAAACCATCCAATTTGTGAGTAATAGGTTATGGCAGCTCTAAATCTAAAATATTTTCCAATCTGGATGCTTTTCTTCCCTTGCCTAATTTTCCTAGCTAGAACCTCCAGTACAATGCTTAATAGCAGTGGCAAGAATAGACATTCTTATGTTGTTCCTTATCTTAGCAGGAAAGCGTTCAGTCTTTTACCAATAAGTATGAAGTTTGGGTTTTTTTTTAATAGTTGCTCTTTATAAAATAAAATCTCTTTTATTCCTAGTTTTTTGAGTGTTTTTTTAAAATCATGAAAGGATGTTGGAGTTTTTAAAATGCTTTTTCTGAATTTGTTGAGATGATCATGTAGTTTTGTTCTTCATTCTATTAATACAATGTATTATATTGATTGATTTTTGTATGTTCAAACAATATTGCATTCCTGGAATAAGCTTCACTTGGTCATGGTATATAATGCTTTTATGTGCTACTGGGTTCAATTTGCTGGCATTTTATTTATATTTTTATAGCTGTATTCATAAGGGATTTTGTTCTGTAATTTTTTTTCTTGTGATGTCTGTCTGGCTTTGGTATCTGGTAATACTGGTCTCTAAAAGTGAGTCCTTAAAAGTGTTCTTTCCTCCTCTATTTTTGGAAGAGTTTGAGAAAGTTAGTGTTAATTTTTAAATGTTTGGTAGAACTCATCCATGATGCCAACTGTATCTGGGCTTTTCTTTGTGAATTTATAAAAATATATATTAGTATTTACATCACTTTACTTGTTATAGAACTGTTTATATTATCCATTTTTTCAGTGTTAGTATTTTATATTGTTCTAGGAATTTGTCATTTCATCTGAGTTATCTTTAAAGAGATTGCAATGTCTCCTCTTTCATTTTTTATTTTAATAATTTGCATCTTGTCTATTTTTTGCTTGATAAGTCTAACTAAAGGCTTATTGTACCAGACAAATCACTAAGTGACCTTGAATTGACATTAATACAAATAGTAAGTTTTATCTCAACACCAGTAGCTTAATAACAGCAGATACAAAGCAGGCAGGAAAGGAAATAAAGGATAAATAGTTACAGAAGACTCTCATTAACTCTGTAGTTACGGGTTAACCATTTAAGCTCTGAATTTTTATTTTCAATTTGCCCATCAGTTTTAAAATATGCACAGGAATAGACCATAATATGTAATCAGCTGGATTCCTAGCAAACCTGGCATGCCTCTGAACTTCTGCGGGTGTTCCTACCCTTTCTTCCTTTCCTGCTCTAATGATTCCTCAGTAGCCAGCATTTTTGCAGAAACAGCACGTTTGCTCTCCTTATCATACTTTTAATATATTAGCTTCTTGCAATATGTGCTCAGGCCTTGTCTGTTTTCTGAGCATCCTGGTACTCATGTGATGGCCCACATAGCTTCAGCAGTTGGGCAGCTTCACCCCACATACATGTTACCGGCCACCCCAGTATTCCCCCTGCAGACGCCCCTCCCTCACACATCATTTGGTATCTAGGATCCTGTTCATGATTCCAATTGTGATGAGAAAAACCTTCCCCCAAACTGGGAGGGAACTGAGAGGCCAAAGAATGACTGTAACAAGTCTAGCTTGGTGAGTAGATGAGTTTATTAAGACTTTACGTGGGGCACTCCTGGATAGTGGCAGAACAGCTCCAGAGATCTGCGCCTCCTCCTGTCTCTAAGCTGCTTTTAAGCTAATTTTCTGGCACTTTGCCTGCTGTGTGGCTGTGATGGGGCTGTTTCTCTTGGTAGGTTCTCAGATCCTTTTGGGGATGTTTGGGTTCTCAGGAACACCTGCTCCTCAGCTGGACACCATGACCTTGGCTCACCACCTGGCCTTCAAGGTTTAAGCAGCAGACATTCACCCTTAAGTAACCTGGTGGAAGACCCATCACACATAGACACACACACACACACACACACACACACATACACGCACACACACACGCATGCATTTTGTGTGCTGGAAGAACTGGGCCAGCTGTCTTGGCTGTCTGGAGAGGATATTCTAATATCGTGCA
Source organism: Homo sapiens (assembly GCF_000001405.40). Classification (NCBI taxonomy): domain Eukaryota; kingdom Metazoa; phylum Chordata; class Mammalia; order Primates; family Hominidae; genus Homo; species Homo sapiens. The sequence goes on from NC_000010.11 coordinate 4,894,835, forward strand.
TTCTGGATTTGTCTTATCATTTCTTTTGTGGCGTTAGTTGGTTTCTCTATCTCTTTCTGTAAATAGATATTGGATTTAAAGACTTGATTCGATTCCACTATTTAATTTTTTAAAAATTTTTGTGGGTACATAGTAGGTATATATATTTATGTTGTACATGAGATGTTTTGATACAGGCATGCAATGTGTAATAATCACATCATGTAGAATGGGGTATCCATTCCTTCAAGCATTTATCATTTGTGTTAAAACAATCCAATTGTACTCTTTTAATTATTTAAAAATGTACAATGAAGTTATTATTGACTATAGTCACCCTGTTGTGCTATCAAATATTTAGGTCTTATTTATTCTTTCTACTTTTTTTGTACCCATTAACCACCTCCACTTCCCTCCCCTCCAACCCCCCTCCCCAGCTACACTTCCCAGCGTCTGGTAACCATCCTTCCACTCTCTATGTCCATGAGTTCAATTGTTTAGATTTTTAGATTCCAAAAATAAGTGAGAATATGTGATGTTTGTCTTTATGTCCGTGGCATACTTCACTTAACATAATGATCTCCAGTTCCATCCATGTTCTTGCAAATGACAGGATCTCACTCTTTTTTATGGTTGAATAATACTCCACTGTGTATATGCACCATATTTTCTTTATCAATTCATCTGTTGATGGACACTTAGGTTGCTTCCAAATCTTAGCTATTGTCAACGGTGCTGCAACAAATACAGGAGTGCAGATATTTCTTCTGTATACTGATTTCTTTTCTTTTGGGTACATACCCAGCAGTGGGGTTGATGAATCATATGATAGCTCTCTTCTCCGTTTTTTGATGAACCTCCAAACTGTTCTCCATAGTGGTTGTACTAATTTACATTTTCACCACAGTGTACGAGGCTTCCCTTTTTCTCCACATCCTCTCCAGCATTTGCTATTGCTTGCCTTTTGGATATAAGCCATTTTAACTAGGTTGAGATAATATCTCATTGTAGTTTTGATTTGCATTTCTCTGCTGATCAGTGATGCTGAGCACCTTTTCGTATATCTGTTTGGCATGGGTATGTCTTGTTTTAAGAAACATCTATTGGCTTAGGATTGACTTGGCAATGAGGGCTCTTTTTTGGTTCCATATGAACTTTAAAGTAGTTTTTTCCAATTCTGTGAAGAAAGGCATTGGTAGCTTGATGGGGATGGCATTGCATCTATACCTTAGGCAGTATGGCCATTTTCACGATATTGATTCTTCCTACCCATGAGCATGGAATGTTCTTCCATTTGTTTGTATCCTCTTTTATTTCATTGAGCAGTGGTTTGTAGTTCTCCTTGAAGAAGTCCTTCACGTCCCTTGTAAGTTGGATTCCCAGGTATTTTATTCTCTTTGAAGCAATTGTGAATGGGAGTTCACTCATGATTTGGTTCTCTGTTTGTCTGTTATTGTTGTATAAGAATGCTTGTGATTTTTGTACATTGATTTTGTATCCTGAGACTTTGCTGAAGTTGCCTGTCAGCTTAAGGAGATTTGGGGCTGAGACGATGGGGTTTTCTAGATGTACAATCATGTCATCTGCAAACAGGGACAATTTGACTTCCTCTTTTCCTAATTGAATACCCTTTATTTCCTTCTCCTGCCTGATTGCCCTGGCCAGAACTTCCAACACTATGTTGAATAGGAGTGGTGAGAGAGGGCATCCCTGTCTTGTGCCAGTTTTCAAAGGGAATGCTTCCAGTTTTTTGCCCATTCAGTATGATAATGGCTGTGGGTTTGTCATAGATAGCTCTTATTATTTTGAGATACATCCCATCAATACCTAATTTATGGAGAGTTTTTAGCATGAAGCATTGTTGAATTTTGTCAGAGGTCTTTTCTGTATCTATTGAGATAATCATGTGGTTTTTGTCATTGGTTCTGTTTATATGCTGGATTATGTTTGTTGATTTGCACATGTTGAACCAACCTTGCATCCCAGGGATGAAGCCCACTTGATCATGGTGAATAAGTTTTTTGATGTGCTGCTGGATTCATATTTTATTGAGGATTTTTGCATTGATGTTCATCAGGGATATTGGCATCATGCTACCTGACTTCAAACTATACTACAAGGCTACAGTAACCAAAACAGCATGGTACTGGTACCAAAACAGCGATATAGACCAATGGAACAGAACAGAGCCCTCAGAAATAATGCTGCATATCTACAACTATCTGATCTTTGACAAACCTGACAAAAACAAGAAATGGAGAAAGGATTCCCTATTTAATAAATGGTGCTGGGAAAACTGGCTAGCCATATGTAGAAAGCTGAAACTGGATCCCTTCCTTACACCTTATACAAAAATTAATTCAAGATGGATTAAAGACTTAAATATTAGACCTGAAACCATAAAAACCCTAGAAGAAAACCTAGGCAATACCATTCAGGACATAGGCATGGGCAAGGACTTCATGTCTAAAACACCAAAAACAATGGCAACAAAAGCCAAAATTGACAAATGGGATCTAATTAAACTAAAGAGCTTCTGCACAGCAAAAAAAAAACTACTATCAGATTGAACAGGCAACCTACAGAATGGGAGAAAATTTTTGCAATCTGCTCATCTGACAAAGGGTTAATATCCAGAATCTACAATGAACTCCAACAAATTTACAAGAAAAAAACGAACAACTCCATCAAAAAGTGGGCGAAGGATATGAACAGACACTTCTCAAAAGAAGACATTTATGCAGCCAAAAGACACATGAAAAAATGCTCATCATCACTGGCCATCAGAGAAATGCAAATCAAAACCACAATGAGATACCATCTCACACCAGTTAAAATGGCGATCATTAAAAAGTCAGGAAAAAACAGGTGCTGGAGAGGATGTGGAGAAATAGGAACACTTTTACACTGTTGGTGGGACTGTAAACTAGTTCAACCATTGTGGAAGACAGTGTGGCGATTCCTCAGGGATCTTGAACTAGAAATACCATTTGACCCAGCAATCCCATTACTGGGTAAATACCCAAAGGATTATAAAACATGCTGCTGTAAAGACACATGCGCACGTATGTTTATTGCGGCACTATTCAGAATAGCAAAGACTTGGAACCAACCCAAATGTCCAACAATGATAGACTGGATTAAGAAAATGTGGCACGTATACACCATGGAATACTATGCAGCCATAAAAAATGATGAGTTCATGTCCTTAGTAGGGACATGGGTGAAGCTGGAAACCATCATTCTCAGCAAACTATCACAAGGACAAAAAACCAAACACCGCATGTTCTCACTCATAGGTGGGAATTGAACAATGAGAACACATGGACACAGGAAAGGGAACATCACACACCGGGGCCTGTTGTGGGGTGGGGGAAGAGGGGAGGGATAGCATTAGGAGATATACCTAATGTTAAATGACGAGTAAATGGGTGCAGCACACCAACATGACACATGTATACATATGTAACTAACCTGCAGGTTGTGCACATGTACCCTAAAACTTAAAATATAATAAAAAAAAACTAAGAAAAATAAACAAACTTTATAAGATAAAGCTGGAAATAATGACAGATTAAAAAAAATCTATTCAAATCTTTTGACCATTTTTTAAATTGGATTATTACATTTTTTTCCTATAGAGTTGTTTGAGCTCCCGATGTATTTTGGTTATTAATACCTTGTCAGATGAAGAGTTTGCAAATATTGTCTCCCATTCTGTGGGGGTTTTCGCTTCACTTTGTTAATTGTTTCCTTTTCTGTGCAGAGCTTTGTAACTTATGATTCCGTTTGTCCGTTTTTGCTTTGGTTGCCTATGCTTATAGGGTATTAGTCAAGAAATTTTTGCCCAGACCAATGTCCTGAAGATTTCTCCAATGTTTTCTTGTAGTAGTTTCGTAGTTTGAGATCTTAGATTTAAACTTTTAACCCATTTTGATTTGATTTTTTTGCATATGGCAAGAGATAGGGGTCTAGTTTCATTCTTCTGCATATAGATATCCAGTTTTCCCAGCACTATTTATCGAAGAGATTGTCTTTTCCCTAGTGTATGTTCTTGGCACCTTGTTAAAAATGAGTGCACTGTAGGTGTGTAGATTTGTTTCTGGGTTCTCTGTTCTGTTCCATTGATATATGTGTCTGTTTTTATGACAATACCCTGCTGTTTTGATTACTATAGCTCTGTAGTAAAATTTGAGGTCAGGTACAAGGCTACAGTAACCAAAACAGCATGGTACTGGTACCAAAACAGATATATAGACCAATGGAACAGAACAGAGGCCTCAGAAATAACACCACACATCTACAATCATCTGATCTTTGAGAAACCTGACAAAAACAAGAAGTGGGGAAAGGATTCCCTATTTAATAAATGGTGCTGGGAAACCTGGCTATCCATATGTAGAAAGCTGAAACTGGATCCTTTCCTTATACCTTATACAAAAATTAATTCAAGATGGATTAAAGACTTAAATGTTAGACCTAAAAGCATAAAAACCCTAGAAGAAAACCTAGGCAATACCATTCAGGACATAGGCATGGGCGAGGACTTCATGACCAAAACAACACAAGCAATGGCAACAAAAGCCAAACTAGACAAATGGGATCTAATTAAACTAAAGAGCTTCTGCACAGCAAAAGAAACTACCATCAGAGTGAACAGGCAACCTACAGAATGGGAGAAAATTTTTGCAATCTACCCATCTGACAAAGGGCTAATATCCAGAATCTACAAAGAACTCAAACAAATTTACAAGAAATTAAAAAACCTGTCAAAAAGTGGACAAAGGATATGAATGGACAGTTCTCAAAAGAAGACATCTATGCAGCCAACAGACACATGAAAAAATGCTCATCATTACTGGTCATTAGAGAAATGCAAATCAAGACCACAATGAGATACCATCTCACACCAGTTAGAATGGCAATCATTAAAAAGTCAGGCAACAACAGATGCTGGAGAGGATGTGGAGAAATAGGAATGCTTTTACACTGTTGGTGGGAGTGTAAATTAGTTCAACCATTGTGGAAGACAGTGTGGTGATTCCTCAAGGATCTAGAACTAGAATTTCCATTTGACCCAGCCATCCCATTACTGGGTATATACCCAAAGGATTATAAATCATGCTACTATAAAGACACATGCACATGTATGTTTATTGCAGCACTATCCACAATAGCAAAGACTTGGAACCAACCCAAATGTCCATCAATGATAGACTGGATTAAGAAAATGTGGCACATATACACCATGGAATACTATGTAGCCATAAAAAATGATGAGTTCACATCCTTTGCAGGGACATGGATGAAGCTGGAAACCATCATTCTCAGCCAACTATCACAAGTACAGAAAACCAAACACCGCATGTTCTCACTCATAGGTGAGAATTGAACAATGAGATCACTTGGACACAGGGTGGGGAGCATCACACACCTGGGCCTGTCAGTGGGTGGGGGGCTGGCGGGGGGATAGCATTAGGAGAAATACCTAATGTAAATGATGAGTTGATGGGCACAGCAAACCAGCTTGGCACATGTATACCTATATATCAAACCTGAAAGTATAATTTAAAAAATATTTGAGGTCAGGTAATGTGATTCCTCCAGTTTTGTATTTTTTGCTTAGGATAGCTTGGGTTATTCTGGTTCTATTAGGCTGATAACAACAGTGTTTGTATAAACAAACAAACTGGCAAAAATAAAACTAATAAAAACTTTACACCTTAAGTTCGTACTCGTACCCCAGCTTTTAAACTTTTTGTTGTTTCTATTTATATCATATTGTACTGTTTATGTCTTGAAACGTTGTTATTATTTTGATTGGTTCATCATTTAGTTTATCTGCTTAGGATTAGAGTAGTTTAGACACCACGGTTACAGTCTTATAATATTCTCTGTTTTCCTGTGTACTTGCTGTTACCAGTGAGTTCTGTACATTCAGATGATTTCTTATTTCTCATTAATGTCCTTTTCTTTCTGATTGAAGTGCTCCCTTTAGCATTTCTTGTAGGACAGGCCTGGCATTGATGAAATCCCTCAGCTTTTGTTTATCTGGGAAAGTCTTTATTTTTCCTTCATGTTTGAAAGATATTTTCACTGGATATGCTATTCTAGGGTAAAAGATATTTTTCTTCAGCACTTTAAATATGTCATGCCACTCTCTCCCGGCCTGTAAGGTTTCTATTGAAAAGTCTGCTGCCAGATGTATTGGAGCTCCATTGTATGTGTTTTTTTTCTCTCTCTCTCTCTCTCTTTTGCTGCTTTTAGGATCCTTTCTTTATCTTTGATCTTTGAAAGTTCGATTATTAAATGGCCTGAAGTACTCTTATTTGGGTTAAATTTCCTTGGTGTTCTATAACCTTCTTGTATTTGAATATTGATATCTTTCTCTGGGTTTGGGAAGTTCTCTGCCATCCCTTTGAATAAACTTTCTATCTCTCTTTCTTTCTCTACCTCATCTTTAAGCCCAGTAACTCTTAGATTTGCCTGCTGATTCCTTCCATTGATTTTACCTTTTTTTAGACAACTGTCTTAATCAAGTAACTATCAACATAGTAGAAAGTATTAGTGGAAAGTATTAGTGGCACATAACACCTCACACTCTAAAAAACAGCATATGTTAAATTCGAAAAATGATGTGAACTCATATCTTCAAAATAACATCTTCCAGGCTGGGTGCGGTGGCTCACACCTGTAATCCCAGCACTTTGGCAGGCCAAGACGGGTGGATCAGTTGAGGTCAGGAGTTCAAGACCAGCCTGGCCAATAACGTGAAACCTCATCTCCACTAAAAATAGAAATTAGCCAAGTGTAGTGACATGTGACTGTAACCCCACCTACTTGGGAGGCTGAGGCAGGAGAATCGCTTGAACCCAGGAGGCAGAGGTTGCACTGAGTCAAGATCTTGCCACTGTACTCCAGCCTGGTGACAGAGGGAGACTCTGTCTCAAAAAATAAAAATAATAATAAAAAAATAAAAAACACATCTTCCAGCCCAGTAGTACTTTTACCCCACCAGTTCTTTCTTGTGTGTTGAGATGGAGTCTTGCTCTGTTGCCCAGGCTAGAGTGCAGTGGCGTGATCTTGGCTCACCACGACCTCCACCTCCCGGGTTCAAGCGATTCTCCTGCCTCAGCCTCCGGAGTAGCTGGGATTACAGGCACGTGCCATCATGCCCAGCTAATTTTTGTGTTTTCGGTAGAAACGGGGTTTCACCATCTTGGCCAGGCTGGTCTCAAACTCCTGACCTCAGGATCCACCCACCTCAGCCTCCCAAAGTGCTGGGATTACAGGCGTGAGCCACCACACCCACCCCCCACCAGTTATTTTCATGTGCAACACTAATGACCAAAATTTGTTTGATCTATTTCCCTCTAAAAGAATTTTGTCTTCTTGTAGTATAACTGTTTTTTGTCTTAAAGCAGGCAAAATAAGGACAAATCAGAATATTGTGTTATGTCCAGAAAGCAAGGTTGGTTTTGAAGGCTGCTAGCAATGATTCTGAAAGGGCAAAGCTGCTCACTGAAGGAATCCTATTAGACTCACTGTGACATTTAAAAATGAAAATAGTGTTAACATTGTTATTTGGAAAAGTGGAGTCTATAAAAAGCCATGAATTAATAATTATGCTGAAAAAAGCAAATTCATATAAAGTTTGGAGAAGGTAGCTAGAATATAAAAAGAGGTGAACAAAATGTTTAATTCGTTACTGATTTTAATAAGTTAGGGAAGATTATATGTACGAGCACTTTTTTTTCTTTCATATGAGTTTCAGATTAGAGAATGAACAACATGTACTTCTTTCTGGTTTCGGAAGCAGAAACTTGAAAGCAAGCCAAGCAGTGTTGAAAGTGTGACAAGTACAAGAATAATCAGTTCAATCAGTCATCATACAAAATAAAGGTTAAGCACTCCAGTGGAAAGTACCAGTTTTCAAACACCAATAAATGGAAACTCTAAAATGCATATCAACTCAGGACACACAAGTTTGAGAAACGACTAAAGCTTATGAGAAAGTCAAAAGGCACAGACATTTGTTTAACTGTGTGGAAAGAAGTGCCTTTGTGTGAAAGAGAGCTCACTCGGCCTGATGATTGTGGCCTTGGGATTGACTCATCCTGGGAAAGGGACTCACGCTTAGGACTGAAGGGGGCCAGCCCCTCCACACCTGTGGGTATTTCGATTCAGGTGGGAGGAGAGACTGAGAAAAGAAATAAGACACAGAGACAAAGTACAGAGAAAGAACTGTGGGCCGAGGGGACCAGCGCTCAGCATACGAAGGACCCGCACCGGCACCAGACTCTGAGTTCCCTCAGTATTTATTGATCATTATTTTTACTATCTTAGCGAGGGGAGTGTAGCAGGGCAACAGGTGGGGAGAAGGTCAGCAGGGAAACATGTGAGCAAAGGAATCGGTATCATGAATAAGTTCAAGGAAAGGTACTGTGCCTGGATGTGCACGTAGGCTAGATTTATGTTTCTCTTTACCCAAACATCTCAGCGTAGAAAAGAGTAACAGAGCAGTATTGCTGCCAGCATATCTCGACTCCAGCCACAGGGCGGTTTTCTCCTGTCTCAGAATAGAACCAATGGGATTGGTCTGCTTTACACCTAGACATTCCATTCCCAGGGACGAACAGGAGACAGAAGCCTTCCTCTTATCTCAACTGCAAAGAGGCCTCTCTCTTTCACTACTCCTCCTCAGCACAGACCCTTTATGGGTGGGATGTCGGGCTGGGGGACTGTCAGGTCTTTCCTTTCCCACGAGGCCATATCTCAGTCTGTCTCAGTGGGGGGAAACCTTGGACAGTACCTAGGCTTTCTTGGGCAGAGGTCCCTGCAGCCTTCTGCAGTGCATGGTGTCCCTGGTTAATCGAGAATGGAGAATGGCGATGACTTTTACCAAGCATACTGCCTGCAAACATATTGTTAACAAGGCACATCCTGCACAGCCCTAAATCCATTAAACTTTGATTCAATACAGCACATGTTTCTGTGAGCACAGGGTTGGGGCTACAGTTACAGGTTAACAGCATCTCAAAGCAGAAACAATTTTTCTTAGAACAGATCAAAATGGAGTTTGATATGTCTTCCTTTTCTACATAAACACAGTAACAATCTGATCTCTCTTTCTTTTCCCTACATAGGACCTGCTGAGAAACAATATCAATTAATCAATTATCCAAGTTCAGCAATTTCAGCTGGTCTTTTTGGGGATATTTCAATAAAGCTTTATTCATGAACACTGAAAGTTTTAATTCATGTAATTTTACATGGCATGAAATAATATAAATCTCTTACATTTTCAATCGCTAAAAAATATACAAACCATTTTTGGCTCATGGGCTATACAAAACTGGGCAGCACGTTAGGCTTGTGGGCCATAGTTCTGTATAGTTAGTGGGTATTATTATATCTGTAGTTATTTTTCTATAAATTCTTATTTTAAAATTATGATCACATACATACAATGTAATATTTATTATTGTAACTATTCATAAACATATAATCCAGTGGCATTAAATGCATTCACAATGTTGTGTGACCATCACCATTTCTATACCCAAAACATTTTTGTCATTCTTAGCAAAAACTCTGTACCTATTAAAAAATTTCCTTTTGAGTTGTTCATTGTTGGTGTATGGAAACACAACTGATTTTTTTGTGTGTTGATCTTATACTCTGCAACTCTGCAGAATTTATTTATTAACTCTAGAAGATTTCTTATGAATTATTTGAGATTTTCTACATGTAGGGTCATATCGTCTGTGAAGAGAGGATTCCTTTTACTTCTCTTTCTTGTCTGATAGCTCCAGCCAGAATATCCATTACAATGTTAAATAGTAGTGATGAAGGCAGGCATCCTTGTCTTGTTCCTCACCTTAAGGGGAACACTTCCAGTCTTTCCCCTTTGAATTTCTCACATATGGCTTTTATGTGTGTTTTTTACCTTTATTATATTAATTGTTTTATTACATTAATTGATTTTCTTCTTTGAACCATCCTTGTGTTCCTAAAGTCCCATTGGATGATGATGTATAATCCTTTTAATATGTGATGGGATTGGATTTTCTAATATTTTACTGCAGATTTTTGAATAAATATTCACAGGGAATAAAGGTCTACAGTTCTCTTGCAATAACTTTATCTGAGTTTTGTATCAGAGTAATGATAGCCTCATAGAATGAGTTTGGAAGTGTTCCTTTCTCTTCAAGTTTTTGGAAGCATTTCAGGATTGGTATTATTTCTCTTTAAATGCATGGTAGAATTCACCAGTGAAGCCATCTGGTCCAGAACTTTTCCCCACTGGGAGGTTCTGATTACTGATTAAATCTCTTTACTTGTTACAGTTCTGTTGAGATTTTCTATTTATTCTTCAATTAGTTTAAATAATTTGTGTGTTTTAGGGAATTTGTCCATTTCTTCTAGGTTACCTTATTAATTGACATGCAATTGTGATAGCATTTTCCTATAATTCTTTTTATTTTATAAGGTAACATTCTCACTTTCATTTATGATTTTAATTATTTGCATTTACTCTCTTTATATTTTTGTCAGTCTAGCTAAAGCTTTGACAATTTGCTGGTTTTTTTAAGTACAAACTTTTCTTTTCATGAATTTTCTGTATTGTTTCTCAAGTATCTTTTATTGTTTTCACTCTAATCCTTATTATTTCCTTCCATCTCCTAGCTTTGAATTTAGCTTGTTCTTTTTTTTAGCTTCTTATGATGTAAAATTAAGTTATTGATATGAGGTCTTTCTTCTTTTCAATGTACGTATTTACAACTATAAGTTTCCCTCTGAGCATTACTTTTACTGCATCTAATAAGTTTTGGAATGTTGTGATTTCATTTGTATTCCAAGTTCTTTGTAATTTCCCCTGTAATTTCTTCTTTGACCTATTGATTATTTAAGACTATTTCATCTAATTTCCATATAATAGTGAATTTTCCAGTTTTCCTTCTGTTATTGACATCTACCTTATCTCATTGTGGTTAGAGAAGGTAGTTAATATAATAGCTATCTCTTAAAATCTATTGAGATGTGTTTTGTGACCCAGCATAGGGTTTATCCTAGAGAATGTTCCATGTGCAGTTGAGAAGAATGTGTACTCTGTGCTTGTTGGGTGGAGTGTTCTTTATATATTAATTAGGTGTAGTTGGTTGGTTTATTGTATTGTTCAAGTTCTCTATTTCTTCATTTCTGTCTGGTTGCTCAATCATCTATTGATGGTGGGGTATTGAAGTCTCCAGTTATTATTGTAGAACTGTATATTTTTCCCTTCTATTTTGTCACTTTCTTGCTATATATATTTTGAGGGTTTATTATTAGATCTATAAATGTTTAGAATTATATATTCTTGCTGTAGTCTTTTATTAAAATATAATTTATTCTTTGTTTCTTGTAAATTTGATTTAAAGGCAATTCTATCTGATATTAATATAGCCAGTCCATCTCTTTTGTAGTTATTATTTCTATGGAATATCTTTCTTTATCTTTTCACCTTCAAGCTATTTGTGTCTTTAGATCTAAAATGAGTCTCTTTTTTGGCATCATATAGTTGGGGTGGTTTCAATTTTTTATCCATCCTGCCAATCTCTGTCTTTTGATTGGAGTGTGTAGTCTATTTAAAGTTAATTATTAATAAGAAAGGGCTTACATCTGCCACTTTTCTCTCTGTTTCTTATATATCTTATGCTCTCTTCTTCCTCATTTCTTTCGTCCCTATGTTCCTTTGTGTGTAGTTAATTTTTTAATGAAACATTTTGATTCCCTTCTCAATTCCTTTTGTGTAGCTTCTGTAGATACATTCTTTGTTACCATGGAAATTACATTTAGTCTCCTAAAGTTATAACAATCTAATATAAACTTATGCCAACAACTTCAAAAGCTTACAGAAGTTCTGCTCGTAACAGCTCCGTCCACTATTTTATTATAATGTAATAGATTACATCTTTATACATTGTGTGCCCAATAGCATACATTATAAGTTATTTTAACAAATTTGTATTTTAAATCTAGTAGAAAATAAAAAGAGGATGTACAAACCAAAATGAAAATAGTAGTAGCTTTTATAATTGCCCATGTATTTATGTTTACTGGAGATTTGATTTCTTCAAGTGGCTTTAAGTTACTGTCTAGCTTCTCTTATTTCAACCTGAAGGACCCTTTTTTGTATTTCTTGCAGAGCAGGTTTAGAGGTAATGAGCTCCCTCGGCTTTTGTTTATCTGGAAATATCTTAATTTCTCCCTCACTTTTGAATGGCAGTTTTGTCAGATACAGAATCCTCAGTTGACTTTTTTTTTTCTTCTAATGTACTTCTTTCAGTATTTTGAATATATCAACCTACTGCCTTCTGGCCTCCAAGGTTTCTGGTTGCTTCTGTCTTACTGCCTTTAAAGTTCTCTCTCTCTTTTTATTATTTTTAAATAATTTTATTATAATGTGTTTTGGTGTAAGTTTCTTTGAGTTTATCATAGTTGGAGTTCTTTATAATAGCCATACCCCTAGAAGGTTACAAAACTAATCTAGAAATAATCTTAAAAATTACGGTCTTTTAAAAAAGGATTAAGTGTCAGTATAGTAACATATTTTACAATCTTTGCATTTGTATGTTTTATCTGCAGCCAGTTTTATCAGCTATGAACCTGGCTTTGCAAAAATTATAACTGAGGAAACCATGACAGTGAAAGAGATCAGACCTAATTGATTCCATGTTGCTTCTAACCTTTAAGCTATCCTTGCTCATTTCTGGGCGTGCACCAAACTAACTATGGGAAGGAATTCAGTTCATGGTTTGACTCTGAAACAAAATTGATAACAGCCCTTTCCTGAAAAGACCCCCTTCTTGACTGGGGACCAGTCTGCCTTTCCAGGACTAACAAATTAGCTACAATATTAGAAGTTATGGTTTAGGGGTCATCCAGCCTCTGGCTCCAAGAGTCTGAACCTACCCAAATTGCTCCTGGGGATAACATCACTATTGTAAAAGTGAAGATCAGCACTTGAGATATTTTGCAGACTCTGTACTCCATGGATCAGCTGACACCACCCAAACCAATAATATAGCTGCTCAGCCAGTCTGCCATCCCACCCAGGGACAAAAGACAGCAAGAAGACCACCCTTCAACCCCCTATGATTCCATCTCCAACCTGACCAATCAGCAGCACTCCCCACTTCCCCAGCCTCTACCTGCTAGATTATCTTGACAAACTCTGATCTAATAATAAACAATAAAACTCCAGTCCCCCACACAGTGGGCTCTGCGGGAATTACTCTTTCTCCATTGCAATTCTCCCGTCTTGATAAATAGACTCTGTCTAGGGAGTGGGCAAGGTTAACCCACTGGGCAATTACAGGTATATAAAATTCTTAATTTCACCACAAACTGTTTAAGAAAACTTGATTTTTCAAAATTTTAATCAATGTGTAAATATTCAGAAAAAACTACTTTCTGTGTTTTAATTGGTAGGATACAGTCAATCAACTTGGTGTAAAACTAAGCAAAATTAATTGTAGATATTATTTCTCTCCAGGCACAAAAACGTGTTTTGAACCTACTCTAACCAACTGTCAAAAGGCTGTGTTAAGTGATTCTCTGACAAGGTAAGATCTAATGCTTGGTGTCTTTTTGAAGTTTTTCAAAATTGCCTCCAATATCAACCTTCCCTTCCCTTTCAGCATTCTGTTCCCTATCTTTCAGCTCATCTTTCTAGTTTTCCTATAGCAAGAAAACGTGTTCAGAGAGCAAGATAATTATATGTATTGATTCTATATGAGAAATATCACCTGTTCTGTCATTAGGGGCTTTAAATATGCCTACCTTATTAAAGAGCTACTTCTCTAGACACAACTGTGACTGAAGAATTAATTCACTCAAGATCCAATATTACCCACAGCGACTCCTTCAATCTCAACCTCCTACTGTGTCAAAACCAAGCTTCCTTCATGAACACTTACCTATACCAAGAGTGCAGACTTTCTTTTCCCTATAGTAATTCAAACTGGGTATTGTGTTGCTTTTCCCTACCACTTTTCTCTTCTGGGACTACTTATATTTACTGTAGTGCATCTGTCTAATTTCAAATATTAAAGAGGCAGGTTCTGTAGTGACAAAGGACTATAGGGAGTTGGTTTTATCTAAACTTTAAAGTAGTGGTTTTCAAAGTTTGGTACCAGAACCTATGGGGTCCCTAGAATCCTTCTGGGGGCATGATGTAAAAATTATTCTTATGATAATACTAAGAACCTATTTCTTTTTTACTCTCATTCTTTTGTGAACGTACAGTGGAGTTTCCCAGAGGCTTATGTGGTATTGATAGATGCAGGACGCAGATAAGGTGGGGGTCGAGGGAGTCCCCAGAGAATCTCCGACCTACTCCGCAAGTGTTTACATCAGATGCTTTCGTGCAGATGAGGGAACCTGCCCAGGGTGTTGTCTGCACATGCCCACAATGGACTGGGGACCCGCCTGTGCACTGGGAGAATAAGGTGGAGCCACAGGAAGTTCATGGCCTGTGCAGCAGGAGGAGCCTGGCCTCTTCTGGTCCTGTGTGTTGGCCTGGTACTCAATCTGTGAGGTGGTAGCATGTTAGCAGGAGTCCCTCTCAATTTGCTGACAGCTTTTTTTTTCTCCTTTTTCCTATTTGCCCATACATTCTGCTCTCTTCACCCTTCAATGTGTCCACATGCCTCATTTATCCTGGTCATGACACAAGAACCGGGATTTAGCTGAACTAAGAAGCAAAAATTCTGCATCATTTTGGTGGCGTGTACAGGGACATGAGGAAGGGTGAGTAAGATGTGAACCAAAAAAATCATTTTCCCTTTTGTTTCTAAGCCTTTTTGTACTCGGACTTCTTATGAGGATAGAGGAAACTGTGTACCACCCTACCTCAATGGCCACAGGTGCTCCCTGCCCCCCTTCGCTCCTGACTGGGATGCATGGCCATAACTGCCACAGGTGCGTGTGGTGTCTAACGGCCATGCTGGGCAGAAATGAGCCACAGCCACTGCCTGGGCCCCAAAGTGGCCTCAGGGACCCAGGCCCCATGTGGCAAGCTGGCCAGTGTTCCCTGCAATGCATCTACGGAGTCTTCCCCACCCCTGGCCAAGGGGTCCAGCTCCATCAGACAGTAATTAAATTTCTCTCTCTGTTGTAGGAACCATTTGCATAATTAAAAAACATCTTCCCACCCCTGCACTTTAAGCTTTTTTTCTTTTCTCCACCAGGTCAGGAGTTAACTTTTAAGTGAGACCTTTTTTCCCCCTTTTAGAAAACGTTTTACTAGGCCAGGGCCCCAGCTGTCACTGTTTATATTCTCTGTAAAGTTTGAATTATAAAAAAGGATTTGTAAGGTTGGTCTTAAGCTGCAGCCAATCTGGTGTGCTCTGCATGTCTTTCTGTATGGTCAACAGCAAACTTTGCTGCAGGCCTCCATATTGTTTTACATCCTTGGAATTGTGACCTGTAACCACATGGTAGTGCTTTATTTTAGCTTCTGCCATTTTGCAATGGCAGCCTACGTTCAATCCTGGCTTAGGGAATGAGTCTTTTCTGGTTTGATATCTGTGTGACTTTTGCCATTTGTTGATTGTCTTCCATTCTACAAACTGCCTTGGATTTTCCTTTTCCTGAGCCTTTAGTAAAGTTTGAAAGCCAGAAATATTGGCCTCTTGGCACAGCTAAAGTGGGGTAACAGGGATATAAAGGGTTTTCTTAAAGAGCGCTCAGCTTAATTAAAAGTGAATGTCCAAGTTACAGGTATATTTAAAAGGCCTTTATGTTTTTTCTTCTTGGCTCTTGCTTTCCTGGAAAAAGGTTTTTTTCTCATTTGACTGAATTATTTTTCTCCATTTTGCCTTGCCACTCATAATATACTCATGAGTGGGGAGAGACCTCGGATTTCCTCATGCAGCCTCAGGAATTAGAGGCGGATGGAGCCCTCTCAAAATCTGTTTTGTCTTCCAGCCATACCTGTTTATTAGGCCCTAGAAACTGCATGTTTTCCTAGCCTTGCTCTTAAGGCTCCCGCTTGCAGTGCAAACCAGTAAAAGGCCTCAGGATTTTTGAGCTCTTCTTATCCCACCTTGTTTTCTTTTGATACATGTTTTCTAATAACCCAGTTTGTCTCTTCTCACCTTCAGGCCAACAAACTCCAACCAGTCATGCAACTAGAGCCCTGGACAATGCCCTCTTCTACTGGGAACCCTTAGATCAAACTCTGAGGGAGATCTGACTGCTGTTTTCCCAAAACAGTACCCCTTGTCAGCAGGACGCACTTCAGATTTGTCTTTGCCTTATCCTTATCCTTACTCTAACAGCTCCATTAGATGTATTTCTTTAGGTGGGGAATGATAGATGCAGGAGGCAGCTGAGGGAGGGTCCCTAGAGAATCTCCAAGCCACCCCACAAGTGTTTACATCAGATGCTTTTGTATAGATGAGGGAACGTGCCCAGGGTCTTGTCTGCACATGCCCACAACGGACTGGGGACTTGCCTGCCTGCTGGGAGAGTGGAGTGGAGCCATGGGAAGTTCATGCCATGTGCAAGGGGGAGGGGCCTGGCCTCTTTAGCTCCTGTGTGGTGGCCTGGTACTCAATCTGTGAGATGGTAGCCTGTTAGCAGGACCCCCCTCACTTTTTTTCTCTTTTTTCCTTTTTGTCCAAAAAATTCTGCTCTCTTCAGCCTTCAATTTGTCCATGTGCCTAAATTTTTCTGATCATAATACAAGAACCTGGATTTATCTGAGCTAAGGAGCAGAAATTCTGCATCAGTGTATGACATTGCAACAGATTAAGGCAGAAGCAGATTTGAGATTCTGGCTGTCCTCTGTGAAGCTACTCATGAGATTTTCAAAATTATAAAACCACATCATTTTTCTCTCAATGATTTTTGTTTGGTGAAATATTGTATTTTGTTATAAAATGTATTATTTATGCTAATAGGTAATAGGTTTATTTCTTAAATAAATTGATGCATAAATATTTAAAAGTTTTTTTTAGTTTAAATTTCTAATTTGGTGCCTATCAATGGATGTAGCACATGTAAACTAAAGCTTTGGGGGTCCTCAATAATTTTTAACAGTATAAAGTGTTCCTAAGACCAAAATTTTGCAAAAATATAGTTTCAAATTTATTTAAGGTACTTCAGGCTGTGGGAAAAGATATGGAAAACTCTCTATTTTATGAGGCTAGCATAACTGATAATAAACCTAAAAAATAACAAATGAAAAAATACAAGTATAGCTCAATTACACTGATGAGCCTAAATGCATAATTCTAAATAAAAATATTACTTAATAGAATCCAAGACTGTATAAAATAAAATAATATGCCAATTTGTAAGTTTTAATGTCAGTGTTATAATTATTTTTTATATCTGGAGATCTAGTAACATAATTTATGACATCAATAAATTTTAAAAGAATAAAAACATAAATTTATATCTATAGATGCTTAATGATATTTTAGGCAAATAAAACTATAACTAAAATATAAATTGAGTAATTATTTAAATGGAAATAAAAATAATTTACCAAAACACCCAGTAAATTTTCCTGTTGCAAAATATTGAATTAAAATGTACAAATAAAGAGATCACATCACCATTTTAATTTTTATTTATTTTTTTTTTTTTTGAGAAAAGGTCTCACTCTATCACCCAGACTGGAGTGCAGTGGTGCGATCATGGCTCACTGCAGCCTCAATCTCCAGGACTCAAGTGATTCTCCAACCTCAGCCTCCTCAGTAGCTGAGTCTACAGCTGCGCACCAGCACACCCAGCTAATTTTTGTATTTTTTGTAGAGACAGTGTTTCACTATGTTTTCTAGGCTGGTCTTGAATTCCTGAGCTCAAGCAATCTGCCCACCTCAGCCTCCCAAAGTGCTGAGATTGCAGGTGTAAGCCATCACGTCCAGCTTTAAAATTTTTATTGCCATTTTTGTCAAGTACCAGACACTATTAATTACAGAGCATTATTTTGTGTACCTCTAAGAAAGAAAAATGCTAATTATTATTTTAAGGTGCCATGAATTAGACATGTTAAACTGTGAAAATATATATACTTTAGAACTGGCTAACTATAGTAAAATTGTCTTGGATGCTGCAAATACAATATCAAAAGAGAACAACTGGTGAAATATTGGATATTATTATAATACAACTAGAAAATTCGAGAGATCCTAGTAAAAAAAACACTCAGTAGAATAAACTGGAAACTTCTGTAGTGACTGTATACAAAACAAATGCACAAAACTTGAGCCAAAGCATCTAGAATTGGAAATGAATAAAAGTTGCATTCACTCAGATAACAACTTCAAAATACTTAGGAATAAAGTTGACAGGATTACTAGAGATTCCACAGAATAAAACTATGTGATATCATTGAAGGCATATAATAAGGTCTGAACAAACAAAATGTAACATTTTTGGATGAGAAGACAATCTATTAAAATGTAAATCTCATAAAATAATATATATATATCCAAGAAATTCTATTTCAAATTCCAACTGACTTGTTTTTAATTGGATACAATTTCTTTAAGTGTATATAAAAATTAATGTGAGAGAGAAAATTTATGAAAAGTAGAACAGTGAGGGAAACTTGCTTTAATGGAACTCACATCATATTGCAAAGCCAATATATTCTAAGCAATAACAATAACATTGGTATAAGTTTACACAGAAATATCAGTTAACTAGACTAGGAAATTCAGAATTAGTTTTTATTTATATAAGAATTTAAGATATGATTCAAAAGGTAGTGCAATTCAGGGGAGATAATAAGTTATTTAATAAATAATGCCTGAAAAATGTTATTGACCTTACAAATAGAATTCTATACCTTCTGACATCATATATGTCCAAAAAATTCCAGCTATATGACACAAACTATAAAAAACGAGGAGGAAAAACTTACAAGGAATGTCCAACGTGCCATCTTGTGTGACAGAAGACCTTGTTTAATAAACAACAACAACAAAATCCTTGCAAGAGACAGAGATATTTCGTTATATAAAAAAATTAAACTTTTGCATGAAAATTTACTATTAACACAGTTAATAAGTAAATGGTAAATTTGGAAAACTTTTATAAATCAGGCAAACTGAGGGTGATATTAATAACCTGAGAGAGCTGTTAAAAATTGTCAAGAAAAGGACACATAATTTATAAAAGAGTGACTAAACTCTGAGATGTTTCAAGGAAAAGAGGTCCAAATGGTCACAAGCATAGTCAAAGTTGTATAGTTTCACTAGTCATTTGAGAAAAGCAAATTAAAACAATAAGGAGATTTTTTTCACTATACAGCCATTTAATTGGCAAACATTTAAATGACTTATATTACCTATTGTGGGCAGAAGCATGGATAAGAAGGTAAAAAATTTTTTAAAAAGTACTTTCCTATGTTGCTGATAGAAATGTAAAACTGAATTTTAAAAGCAATCTGGTAACAGCTACAGAAAGTATAATTTTACAGACCTTTTAAGCCATAAATCCTGATCGCATAGAAATGAAAGCTCCCATGTAGTGGCATGCATGCCAGGATATTTTACACAAACGTGTTTAGTGCCATCACTGTACCCACATGAACACTCACCCACGGGCAATCACTGGTAACTGTGGTGCACCGACTCCAGTAACACTGGAGTCTAATTACTATAGTCTAATTCCTCTACTTATTTTCCTAAAGAGAGTCTTGCAAGGCCTGAGAAGTCCAAAAATGTGTCATCCCAGCCTTCCACACCCATTGCCATATTTATGGAGGGAGGGAAGAAAGAGAAAAAGAGAGTCAAGACTCTTCAGAGGATTCGCTCCTCTCAGAGATCAGGAATGAAAAATTAACCAATAAAATAACACTGGTGCACTTAGAGGAATTTCTATGTGCTAGACCTCACAGGACGGTGTATCAGGATCCAGTTTTGTTAAGCCATGACCAAATACTTTCTGTGTGTTGTATTTATACATACATATATATAATATATACTTTATATATGAAATATTTATATATTATAAAATTATATGTGAAATATTTAAATATTTCATATATAAATATATAATATGTAATTATATATTTGAGAAAAAATATATGTTATGAGAAATATATATATATTACACCAGAATAATTATACACCAGAATAATTACACCAGAAATAAATATATATATTTGAGAAAAAATATATATTAATATATATTATATAATATATATTATATAATATATAAATATATAATTATATATAACTATATAATATATTAATATATTAAATATATAATATATAAATATGTAAAGTATATAATATCTAAATATATATATTATAAATTCACACAGGGACAGAAAACCAAATACCACATGTCTGCACTTATAAGTGGGAGCCATTTATAGATATAAAATATATACATATTTTATATATAAAATATGTTATATATATTTCATATATATTTTATATATATAAATTTATTATATATAATTATATTTATATATTAATATTATATAATTAAATATGTATAATTATATGTATACTTATAATTATATACTATATAATTATATGTATACATATAATTATATATAAAAATATATATATATATTTTTTAAGATGGAAGTTCGCCCTTTTTTCCCAGGAGTGCAATGGTGTGATCTTGGCTCACTGCAACCTCCACCTTTCAGGTTCAAGCAATTCTCCTGCCTCAGCCTCCCAAGTAGCTGGGATTACAGGCGTGCCCTGCCACCATGCCTGGCTAATTTTTTGTATTTTTAGTAGAGATAGGGTTTCTCCATGTTGGTCAGGCTGGTCTCGATCTCCTGGCCTCAGGTGATCTGCCTTCCTCAGCCTCCCAATGTGCTGGGATTACAGGCGTGAGCCACTGCACCCAGCCTACATATATATATATATATATGTTTTTTTTTTAAAGAAATAGTTCTGTATTATATGAGCATGGGGAAAATATGGAAGTACATATTAAGCTGTTAATAAATTAGTGTGAGGAGCTGCTGAAAAGAGTGACATGGAAAGGAAAGGGCATAAGGAGATCTGAAGAGAAAGAAAAAAGTTCAGCTACACAGCATGTATATATCCATGCGACTGAGGACAAATAATTGAAAGAAAAAGTAAAAAGCAGAACATGGTTGCATTTATGCATTTATTTAAAATTACATAATTATAATTTATATCCTTTATATAGAAATAATTAAACAAGTTTAGCAAGTAATTTCAAATTACAAAGAAAGCCCTAAGAAAGCACTCAATATAATCACTTAAAAGACCAAAAAGTATGCATGATAATTTAAAGCTTAGTAACTGGGAATGGTCCCATATTGAGACAGGAATATTTCCTGACATCCAGAGAATTGTTTCCTATAAATAAAGATTTTGGTGCTTACCTCTAAGTGATGTCTAGGACATGTCCAATCATGAATAGAAAAACACTGAACTTCACAGCGGGTGTAAAGGGAGAAACCATTGCCCTTTAGACATTGGAAAAGTTCTTATGTTCTTGCTTGCCTTGTGATCTTTTATTGTGAAACTTGCAAAATAAATTGATCTTGGCTGTTACCTGCTCTTTTATATTTAACCCTCCCTCCTATGCTACAGTTAAAGTCACAGACCAAATTATTTATCATAATCAAAGCAGAAGTGGGTCAAGCACAGATTTAATAACTATTTAATAGAATTTAATATTGATTTAATAGATATTAAATTTAAATTTAATATCGATTTAATAGAATATTTAATAGAAAAATAATAACAATAACATATCCCTAAGGACCCTCAGGCAAACAGTAGCCCTTCCTGAAATGTGAGAACCTGGCCGGCCATGTGCTTGTCTTTCAGAAAAGTGTCTGAATCTGATATGAAAATTCAGAAGTTATTCATACAATATATTCTCATTGGAAAACTTGAACCATTTGGCCCAACAATCCCATTACTGGCTGTACACCCAGAAGCTTATACATCATTGTGTTATAAAGACGTGTGCCTGTGTATGTTTATTGCGGCACATTCACAATAGCAAAGCCGTAGAATCCACCTGAATGCCCGTGCATGACAGACTGGAGAAAGAAAATCTGGTCCGTATACAACACGAAATGCTGTGCAGCCGTAAAAAAGAACAAGATCGTGTCCACTGCAGGGACATGGATGGAACTGGAGGCCGTTATCTTTAGAAAATTAACACAGGGACAGAAAACCAAGTACCACATGTCCGCACTTATAAGTGGGAGCTAAATGATGAGAACACATGGACCCAGAGAGGGGAACAACACACACTGGGGCCTTTCGGAGGGCGGAGGATAGGAGGAGGGAATCAGGAAAAATAACTGATGGGTACTAGGCTTAATACCTGCGCGATGAAATAATCTGTACAACAAACCTCCATGACACAAGTTTACCTGTGTAGCAAAACTGCACTTGTACCCCTGAACTTAAAATAAAAGTTAAAAAAAGAATTATCTTAATATAGATACAATAAGTTGTCATTTCTAGAATTAAAAACATGTATCTTAGTATGAATCAAGTGCGTAAATGGTAGGAAAATGTTATTTTATTGGCTAATTTTTCATCCCTGACCTCTAAGAGGAGCGAGTCCTCTGAAGAGTGTTGACTCTCTTTTTCTCTCTCTTCCCTCCCTCCATAAATATGGCAATGGGTGTGGAAGGCTGGGATGAAGCATTGTCGGACTCCTCAGGCCTTGCGAGGCTCTCTTTAGGGAAATAGGTAGAGGACTTAGACTCCGGCGTTACTGGAGTCGGTGAACCACAGTTACTCAGTGATTGCCCATCAAGATTGTTCCATCAGTCTTGGATTCTATTAGGTAATATTTTTATTTAGAATTATGCATTTAGGTTCATCAGTGTAATTGAGCTATAGTTATAGTTTTCCTTTTTTATTTTTCAGGTTTATCATCAGTTATGCTAGCCTCATAAAATAAATTGAGAGTTTTCTGTATTTTTCCCACAGACTGAAGTACCTTACATAAATTTGAAACTCTTTTTTCTCAAAATGTTTAGTCTTAGGAACACTTTACACTCTTAAAAATCATTGAGGACCTCCAAAGCTTGAGTTTATATGTCCTACATCCATTGATATGCACCAAATTAGAAATTTAAACTAAAAAAATTTAAAATATTTATGCATCAATTTATTTAAAAATAAACCTATCACATATTAGCATAAATAATATATTTTATAACAAAATACAATATTTCACCAGACAAAAATCATTCAGAGAGAAAAATGATGTGTTTTTATGTTTTTGAAAATCTCCTGAGTAGTGTCATAGAGGACAGCCAGAATTTCATTTCTGCTTCTGCATTCATCTGTTGCAATGTCATACACTGATGCTGAATTTTTGCCCCTTAGTTCAGCTAAATCCAGGTTGTTGTGTTGTGACCAGGAAAAACTAGGCACGTGGACTCATTGAAGGGTGAACAGAGCAGAATTTTTGGGACAAAAAGGAAAAAAGAGAAAAAAAGTGAGAGGGGGGCCCTGCTAACAGGCTACCATCTCACAGATTGAGTACCAGGCCACCACACAGGAGCTGAAGAGGCCAGGCCCCTCCCCCTTGCACATGGCATGAACTTCCATGGCTCCACTCCAGTCTCCCAGCAGGTAGGCATGTCCCCAGTACGTTGTGGGCATGTGCAGACAGGACCCTGGGCAGGTTCCCTCATTTATATAAAAGCATCTGATGTAAACACTTGTGGGGTGGGTTGGAGATTCTCTGGGGCCCTCCCTCATCTGCTTCCTGCATCTATCATTCCCCCTTTAAAGAAATACATCTAACTAACTGCCATTAAGAGTAAGGATAAGGATAAGGATGAAGACAACTTAAACCGTTTCTTGTTGATTCTGGATATTAGACCTTCATCAGATGCATAGCGTGTAGGCATTTTCTTCCATTCTTTAGGTTGTCTGTTTATTCTGTGGCTAGTGTCTTTTGCTGTGTAGAAGCTGTTTAGTTTATTACGTCCCACTTGTCTTTCTGTTTTTGTTGCAATTGCTTTGCGTGCCTTCATCATGAAATCTTTACCAGGGTCTATTTCAGAATGGTATTTCCTAGGTTATCTTTAAGGGTTTTTCATAGTTTTAGGCTTAAAACTTAAGGTTTTAATATATTTTGAGTTGATTTTTTAATACAGTGTAAGGAAGGCTTTCCAGTTTCAATCTTCCGTACATGGCTAGCTAGTCATCACAGCATCACTCGTTGAATGATTGCAGGTGTGCAGCATTATTTCTGGGACTTCTCTACTGTTCCCTTGGTCCATGGGCCTGCTTTTGTACTAGTACCCTCATGGGTGACTTTGAGGAATTCAAGACTTCAGTGGAGAAAATAACTGCAGATGTAGTGGAAATAGTAAGAGAACTATAGTTAAAATTGGAGCTTGAATATTACTGAATGGTTGCAATCTCATAATATAATTTTACCAAATGAGAAGCTACTTTTATGGATGAGCAAACAATGTGGTTTGGTGAAATAGATTCCACTTCTGTTGAAGATGCTGTAAACATTCCTGAAATGACAGCAAAGGATTTAGAATATGACATAAACGTAGTTGGCGAGGCAATGACATCGAGAGAATTTTCTCTTCATGCTTTCATGTCCCCACATTGATGGAGCTGCCTCACAGAGCCTTTCTCAGAAGATAGCCCAGGCATTACACGACACATGACTGTCATTAATGACAGGGAAAGAGTTACTTGTGCCATTTTCTTTTTCTTTATTATTATTTTTTTTCCTGAGACAGAGACTACCTCTGTTTTCCAGGCTGGATTGCAGTGGCGCAATCTTGGCTCGCTGCAACCTCTGCCTCTGGGGCTTCTGCATAGTTGGGGTTACAGGCTTGCACCACCACACCTTGCTTAATTTTGTGTTTTTAGTAGAGATGGGGTTTCACCATGTTGGTCTTAAACTCCTGGCCTCAAGTGATCTGCCTGCCTCAGCCTCCCAAAGTGCTGGGATAACAGGTGTGAGCCACCAGTCCCAGCTACTTGTGCCATTTTCAATGTTTTACCACTCTCTATAGCTTTTTATCCTTCATATTCACCATTACTATCATCTTGTAAGGTTGTGTGACTTTTTTATAAATGACATTTGGATTCCCTTCTCATTTCCTATTGAGTATATTCTACAGTTATTCTCTGTGATTGCTATGGGGATGACATATGATTTTATAAAATTATAACAATTTATTTTGAATCAATACCAATTTAACTTTAATTTTATATAAAAACTCTCCCTTTCCCCAGGTTTTTACTCTACTTCACATTGTTTTGTCACTAATTACAGCTTTCTGCATTGTGTACATATTAACTTAGAATTATACTTATTTCTATACGTTTATATTTTAAATCTTGAAGAAAAATAGAGTACAATTCCAAAATTTCAAAAATACATGTTTTCATATTTTGCCACCTATTCACATTGACTAGATGTCTTTATAGGTCTAAATGGCTGTAAGTTACTATTTCCTTTTATTCAACCTGAATAATTCCCTTCAGCATTTCTTGTAGAGAAAAAATAATGAAATCAGGGATTGGAGGTCCCTATACAATTTTCTTACATCCCAAGTGTTCCTAAAACCAAGTGTTGAGCTTTAAGAAATTCTGAGTAAGTTTTTGTTTGTTTGTTTTTAACTAAGAATTTTGTGGAAACAGAGGGTAAAGAACTGGAATAAGCCTGTAGCAGATTTAGTATTTACAAATGACTGTCCTAATGATTATTTCACATCTGGAAAAACATGTTATGCATGCTAAAGAAATCTGAAATTTAAAATATTTCCTAAGAACTACACACTTGACCTGTAAGTTTTAAGAAAATGTCATTCTTTTCTTGGTAGTTACATCAATCAACCTTATGAGATGTGAAATAATTATTAGTTAAAATAAGAAAGTTGAGGTGGAACAGGAGGCAGTTGTTTACATGGTTTGTTTGAGACATGCTAAGGGTGAATGTCCCTTAGACACTAATAGGAGATGTAGAGCACACATTGTTATGTTCTGTCCTGGAGTTTGGAGGAAAAAGCTCAGCTAGAAATATTTTTGGGGTGTTTCTCAACCTAAAGGTGGTATTTAAAGCCAGAGATCATCAAGGGAATGAAAATAGACAGAAAACAGTCCAAGAAATTGGCCTAGGGCGCTCCAAAGTTTATGACCTCCCTCAATTTTAAGGAATAAATAGTTTAAGGAAAGATTGTGGGCTGCAAAACTTGCTGGGAGACCTGGCTTGAGAAAGCCTCTTTGATGGGGTTAAGGTGGCCACCAGACTAAGAACAATTGAGAGTGAAAGTGTTAGTGTGCCCAGGTCAAAAACCACTGTCCTCAAAACGCTCTCACCAGGATATCCCAAGTTTTCAAAAGAGCTGCCTGAAATGAAAATTTATGTCCCCATGATTAACTGATTTACTTCGTACCCCTAAAAACTATGTAAAAGAATTACATATATTTGTAAGAGTTGTTCCTGACATTTACTAAAGTTTGAAAACATTGTGCAATTTTGCAGACACTGTTTCCAAAAGATTTTTGGGATTTTGGAGAATTTGCTTTATTAGATGTATTATTTACCATTTTGATCTTAATTTGAGAGTAATATGTAATGGCTTTAGAACATTTTGTCTTTTATACTTGTAAGCATGCCTTACAGCTCTCTTCCCACCGTAACCACATGCCAAAAGCAAGGAAATTAACATGAGTGACCTAAACAGACCTTTTGCAGTAAAACACATGTTGATGAGATTACAATCCTGACCCCAAAACCATCACTTATTTTATGTATGAAACATGTAAAAAGATCAAGTATCATAAATTAATAGTATATTTTTGGAATCTAAGAACATTCTCTAAAGATGGGGTTGGTATTTAGGGGAATCTGATCAGTCAATGGTGTCTTCAATGTCCTTTCCCACCACAGCCCAGTACGGTCAGTGCTGTAACTGGCCACACATCAGAGGTCCAGGCCTGACTCTCAGCTCTAGGATTTCTTAAAGCATTGTGGAGAGAATTTCCTTTTATGCACAACATATAATTATCCAAAAAATGGTGCCAATGTATTTTTCCAAGCATACATGTACTCAACCCTCTCCTTCTAAACCTCTTCAATATCTGACTTCTAATCATTTCTCCTGGGTGGGTGCCCTCCCTCCTCACTGAACACCCCTCCCACAGGGATGCCTCATTCCTAGGCTCTGGGAGGGATGCCTCATTCCTAGGCTCTGGGAGGGATGCCTCATTCCTAGGCTCTGGGAGGGAGCCTAGGAATCTGATCCCTGCACTGCTGGAGGAAGCCCATGGATTCCTGGTCATCCTTTCAATAGCCCTCACCCTCCAGACTCGATGCTGTGTGTGTTCTTGTTCCTCAAATAGCTAAAGATGCACTGATATATACCTGTCACCAGCTCCTTCTTTAGAAGCTGGAAATCACCCATGCCCACCTAAAAATGTCTATAAAATGGTTGTCATCATCTCCCACCCCCTGATCCTAACTTATAAGCAAATCACCATTTTTGAGCTAATGAGTCAGAAAGAAAGAAAACATACAAGTAATGGAGACCAAAGTAGGTAAAGAATCTTTGGAAGAGAGCACTCAATTTTTTCAAAGAGAAAAAAAAAATATTGTCTTTCCCTTCTGGCCTGTGAACTTATATTTGGCTGACTGAAGTCGCTAAGCAGGGTAGATTTAGCCAAAGGCGATGTGTCCAATCACCAGCATAAAGACGTCCTCTGTGTCACCATCCACACACAGGGCCTCTGATAGAACTCATACAAAGTCCTCCATGTTAATATTCACCTGAAAATGGATAATCAGGGTGGCCAGCAAGACTGAAGAAGAAAGGATAATGCATGATAAGAACTGCAATGATTCCATTATTGGGGGGGTAGCACAGTGATTTCTAGGAAGCTGCCATTAGTGTGGATGTTAAGAAGTTCATTTTCTGATTGCTGGAGTGTCTGCATTTTTTACTTTTATGAACATGACTTTACAGTATCTGTATTATCAAAGTAATAAATTATTCAATTCTACTCCCCTGCCTGGAACTTAATACATAAAACACAAATTCCACCGGGCCCAGTGGCTCACGCCTGTAATCCCAGCACTTTGGGAGGCTGAGGTAGGTGGTTGTATCACCTGAGGTCAGGAGTTTGAGACCAGCCTGACCAACATGGTGAAACCTCGTATCTACTAAAAGATACAAAAATTAGCCGGGTATGGTGGCAGACACCTGTAATCGCAGCTATTTGGGAGGCCGAGGCAGGAGAAGCATTTGAACGCAGGAGGAGGAGGTTGCAGTTAGCTGAGACAATGCCATTGCACCCCAGCCTGGGCAACAAGAGCGAAACTCTGTCTCAAAACAAACAAACAAAACACACACAAAGTCAAATGTTCAAACATATTCCTGTACATCTGCCTACAGAGCAAAGAGATATTCTATTTCAAATTCTCAATGGAAGTAGGAACTCTTTCTGCCTTACTTTGAAGGAGAAACAAGTTATACGCTCATCACTAATAAATAATTTTGAGTGTGAAAGGCTACTGGTAGCAATTAGGCTTTCTTTTATTACTTTATTTATTATTTACTGCCTGCCTACCATATGCAACATATTTGTTAGTTTCAGAAATGTAAATTGTTGTATATGATCCAGGGTCCAATATCCAAGAAAATACAATGCACTAAAAATGTCTATGTAGACATAATGCAAAAAATAAAGGGACAAATAAATGCCTGCTTATCGTTAGATATTTCATTGGTGGTAAGAATTACAGATGCTTGCTATTCTTCCTTTTATTTAATAATTTCCTTTTTATTTTTTATTTTCCTCTATATTAATAAAATATCAACAATGGTATCTACCAGTTTTTGAGTTCTTATGATATGCCATTGTGGTTATGTTTTTCACACATTATCTCATCATCTCTATTCTTAAAATCTCCAGTGTCAGCAGTTACATAACTTCTCTTTTCCCTCATTACATCGGTGACCATCCATGACTCCTAAAACCTTAAAGCATTTGAAAGGCAGTCTCCCAATAGATAGAAACACCTGAAATCGGTAAAGACAGTAGTTACATTGCCTTACTGTCCATCAATGCTAGATTGCAGTCTTTTTTTTATCTTTTGTTTTAGGTTCAGGGTACATGTGCAGATTTGTAAATTGCATGTCATGGGGGTTTGGTGTGGAGATTATTTTGTCACCCAGGTACCAATCACTTGAATAGAGTGTCCCTTCCCCAGTGCTTGTTTTTATTAATTGACAGAAATCAGATTATTGTAGTTGTGCAGCATTACTTCTGGGCTCTCTATTTTGTTCCATTGATCCATGTGTCTGTTTCTGTACAAGTCTCATGCTGTTTTTGTTACTGTAGCCTTTCAATATAGTTTGAAGTTGGGTAATGTAATGCCTCCACCTTTGTTCTGCCTTGACTATTAGAGTCTTTTTGGTTCCTTATAAATTTTAACATAGTGTTTTTTTCTAGTTCTGTGAAGAATGTCATTGATAGTTTGATGGGAATAGCATTAAATCTGTAAATTGCTTTGGGCAGTATGGCCACTTTAACAG
Organism: Homo sapiens; assembly: GCF_000001405.40. Classification (NCBI taxonomy): domain Eukaryota; kingdom Metazoa; phylum Chordata; class Mammalia; order Primates; family Hominidae; genus Homo; species Homo sapiens. The sequence continues at coordinate 4,924,362 of NC_000010.11, forward strand.
TATTAATTCTTCTTATCCATGAGCATGGAATGTTTTTCCATTTGTTTTTCTCGTCTCTGATTTCCTTTGAGCAGTGTTTTGTAATTGTAATTCTCATGGTAGTGATATTTCCCCTCTGTGGTTATCTTATTCCTAGATATGATGCTCATTTACCATTCCAACAATCCTAGGGCACAGACAATCACACACACACACAGGTACACACACTTACATGGAGTCATGCACACAGGCACACACACATGCACACACTTGCATACACATACACACTAGCACACAAACACATATACACACAGGCACACACACACACAGGCACACATACACACAGGTGCACACACACACAGGTGCACACAAACACATATACACACAGGCACACACACACACAGGCACACATACACACAGGTGCACACACACACAGGTGCACACACATACACACACAGGCACACACACAGACACTCTCATCTTCTCCAGCTCTTCTTCTTCTGTGTATTGATGTTATCTTCAGGGTGGGTGGAGGCTGCTGAAGCAATTTTTGAACTCACACTGCAGCAGGACAATAGCTACTTGCAGAAGAAAGGCCACCTTATTTTAAAAATTTCTTCCTAGAAGTGAGGAATCCTTCCTAGAAGCCCCTAGCATAGTCCCTCTTATGTGGCATTGGCTAGGACTGGGTCACAGCAGCTCTCTTCCCACTGCAACCACATGCCAAGGGCAAGGAAATTAACATGAGTGACCTAAACAGACCTTTTGCAGTAAATCACATGTTGATGAGATTACAATCCTGACCCCTAAAACCATAATATGAAATTGATGTTTTTCACAAAAGTTAGACATTTCCAATATTGCCTATATTTCCAAATTGCTTTGCAAAGTTTTAAAACAACTCAAAATAAATTAAAGTTTTAAATGTAAGAACTGAAACTATAAACTGCTATCAGAAAATGTAAGGAAAATTCTAAATTCTTTGGGGAAAAAGTAATAACTAAATTTAGGGAAATAATTCAAGAGTATGACCTCAAGAACACAAACAAGAGAATAAAAACAGACATATATGGCTTAATAAAACAAATAAGCTTCTGTAAATCAAAAGAAATAATCAAAAGGGTGAACAGACAACCTACAAAATGGAAGAAAATATTTACAAACTGTAAATCCAATAGAAAACTCATATCAAAAATTTATGGCCAGGCGTGGTGGCTCATGTCTGTAATCCCAGCACTTTGGGAGGCTGATGTTTGTGGATCACCTGAGGTCAGGAGTTCAAGACCAACCTGGTCAACATGGCGAGATCCCATCACTACTAAAAATACAAAAATTAGCCAGGGGGGTGGCTCATGGCTATAATCCCAGGTACTTGGCAGGCTGAGGCACGAGAATTGCTTGTACCTGGGAGGTGCAGGCTGCAGTGAGCTGAGATTGTGCCACTGCACTCCAGCCTGGGCGACAGAGCAAGACTCTGTCTCAAAAAGAAAAAAAAAATTCTAAGAAACTCAACAACAACAACAACCCAAATAACCTCTGTTAAACTGGGTGAAGAGCAGAGGTTTCCCAGCTTCATGCTTCGGCATACCTCTAGGAACTTGATATCTGCCCGCCGAAACTTCTTCCTCCTGCTGGTGCTTGTGTCTGCCATTGTGTAACCTGTAAGCGGGCCTTCTACTTGGCTAAGCAGGAAGATTAGATGGCTGTGCCTTCCACAGGTCAGATCAATGTCTTATTACACAGATAGCTTCTCTCAGTTAACAGGGATCCAATATATACACATCTGTATCAGCCATAGCCAGTTCTTTCCCATAGAACCATCTACTGGCCTGGAACTTGAATCACTCAACACAAAAAGACATCTGCTGATGCAAGCCCACTGCACTAGGGAATAAGATAAACTCCCTGATAAGCTCGACATCCAAAAAAAGCAAATGCAAAACATAACAGGGTAAAATAGTTTATGCAATTGAGAAAAAAACAGGAAACAACTCTGAAAGTATGAAAAAACAGACTGTTTAACACCCTCAAAGGATCACACATTAACTCTCCAGCAATAGATCCTAACTTAAATGAAATTTTGAAATACCAGATAAATAATTCAAAATATTGAGTTATAGAAACTCAATGAGACCAAACAGAAAGCTGAAAACTAACACATAGAAATCAGAAAAAAACAATTCAGAATATGGAAGAATATATTGACATCATTTAAAAAAGAATCAGAACTTCTGGAAATAAAAAAATTCATTGAAGGAATTGTGAAATACAGTTGAAAGCTTTAACAATAGGCTAGACCAAGAGGAAGAAAGAATTTTAGAGCTGGAAGACAAGTCTTTGAAATTAACTCAATCAGACATTAATATAGAAAAATTAATTTTAAAAAATCCACAAAGTCTTTGAGAAATAGGGAATTTTATGAAGTGACCATCCCTCAGAAATGTAAGTATTCCAGAGTGAGAAGAAAAAGAACTAAAAAGTATGGAAAACGCTTCGGAGGATATACTTCAGAAAACCTTCCCTGGTATTGGGAAACATTTAGACATTCAGATGCAAGAAGATCACAGAATTCTTGGAAAATACATTTCAAGATGAACCTCACCACAGCATATAGTCATCAGACTATTTGAAGTCAACATAAAGAAAAAAATTCTAAGAGTTGCAAGAGAGAAACACTTAATCACCTGTAAAGGAAATCCCATCAGACTAAAATTGAATTCTCAGCAGAAACCCTACGGGCCAGAATATACTTCAGGCCTATATTCATCCTCCTTAAAGAACAAAAGGCAGCCAAGTATTTTATATGCTGCTAAGCTAAACTTCCAAAATGATACAGGAATATTCTTTTCCAGACAAACAATTACTAAGGGAATTCATTACCATTAGCTCAATCCTAGAAGAAATGCTGAAAGAAATTCTAAACATGGAAATTAGGGGACAATACACATCATCATAAAAGGGCACATTAGTACAAATCTCACAGATCCTACAAAGTAATTACATAATTGAAACTCAAAGACAACTAGGAAACAATACTATGACAGAAACAGAACCTCACATACCATGTTAACCTTAAATGTAAATGACCAAAATGCTCCACTGAAAGACACAGAGTGCCAAACTGGATACAAAAAGCAAGATTCAACCATACACAGCATAGGAGAAACTCACCAAGTGACTAAAGGCATCTACAGACTTAAAGCAGAGGGGTGGAAATGCATATATCACACAAATAGAAAAAAAATACCAAAAAGCAAGAATGAGCAGAAGTAGCCACTCCTGTATTAGATAAAACAGACCTTAAAAGAACAACAGTGAAAACAGACAAATAAAATGCATTTTATAATGATAAAAGGTTCAACACACAAAAAAGACCTAATTATTTAAAGTTGTATTTACCTAACACTGGAGCACCCAGATACATAAAACAAATACTACTAGACCAAAGAAAACAGATTTATAGCAGTACGATCATAGTACAGCACTTCAGCACCCACTGATATTATCTGACAGAACATCAAGGCAGAAAATCAGCTGAGAAACTCTGGAAATAAACTAGACCACAGACCAAATGGACCTAATATTTGCAGAACATTCTATCCAACAACCACAGAGTATAAATTCTTCTCATCTGCACTTGGAATATTCTCCAAAATTAAGTATATGCTTCACTGTAAAGCAAGTCTCAACAAATTTTTAAAAATCAAAATGATATCAATTATATTCTCAGACCATAGTGGAATAAAATCAATACCAAGAGGAACTTGGAAAATTACACAAGTACATGGAGACAAAACAACATGCCCCTCAATAACTTTTGAGCAAACAATCAAATCAATTGAATCAAACTAAGTGCCTATCAATGGATGATTGGATAAAGAAAATGTGGTATATATAAACACTGGAATACACTTCAGCCAGAGAAAAGGGAAATCATGTTTTTTGCAGCAACATGGATGAACTTCAGAAACAGAACTCAAAAAGAGAATAATTGGTGACAAAAAATGGATCCCTTAAATTAGTCCCCTAAATTTTATTTTTAGAAAAAGTTTTGCAGAACTACAATTTGACCTGGCAAGTCCATTACTGGGTATGTACCCAAAGGAATATAAATCATTCTATCATAAGGACACATGCACACCTGTGTTCATTGCAGCACCATTCACAATAGCAAAGACATGGAATCAATCTAAGTACCATCAATGGCAGACTGGATAAAGAAAATATCGTACATATACAACATGGAATACTATGTAGCTGTGAGAAAGAATGATATAATAACCTTGTCAGGAACATGGATGGAGCTAGAGGGTAGAAAATCTTACCGTATGGTCAAAATGAATAAGATTAAGTAGATTTGTCTATAAGGTGTTACTAAGGATTGGGTTTAACATTAGAAGTATACTAATGCAAAGGAAAATTTTTACTTTCTTTGGACATATTTGTATAAATGTACTATTGGTGTGTGTTCAAAAATTACGTGAAATTCCTATAATTCTGTTATGACGTAGTTTATAGTACCAGTTATAATTATAATTGTTATGTTAAATTATTGTATGCCACAGAGGTAACTAAATTTCCTTGCCAATTGTGTCTTTGACTGTGGCTGCCCTAAGATTTTTTGTCATCCACAAACAATTGTTGTCTTGTTTTGATCCTCTTTAAATGTGGTTTTATCATCAGCTCTAGGATTCTGTGCTCTTGAATGCAGGTTTGTGATAACTTTTAAGAAGGTGATGTTGAGATGGAGAGGAAAGAACTTCCAAGACCCTCTTGGAAAACTAATGTGATAATAAATATTGAGCAAAACAGGAATTAATTGCATAAATTGAACTAATAAAGGACCAAAAAATATGCTTTTTACTTTTTGCTTAGAATGTTGCTGATCCTGTGTTTTCTTTTTCAGAATCAAGAAAACTTTTCTCTCAAGCTTATTTACAGCTTTTAACAATAGAGTAATGTACACTCCTGTAAAGAAATTTAGAGCATATTTGTTTCTCTCTACCTGATTTATTCAGAATTTGGAGACTATTTTTGAGTGTTCCTAACATACGGCAATATATTTATTTGCATAAGTGTGATAAGAATTCGTTGTTGTTGTTGTTGTTGTTGTTTTTTCCCAACAGGACACAATTGGAGAAACTGCTTATTTTACCAAGGTTTTGACTGGAATGATGTGCTTTCTTTTAAGGAATCAAACTTGACTTATAGAGCCAAAAATAGCTTCTTTGGAAAACTGTCCTCATGCCTTGTCTACACAGTCCCTTTACACAGTTTGCCACCCATGGAAAATAAAGAATGTCACTTTCTCACAGGCCCAGGAGCTTCAAATTGTCTTGGGACCTCAAGAGGAGAGGAATTTAGCCAAATCATGCAGGTATTTGATAGCACACACCCATGGCTGGGCTTAAGGCTTGAAAAAGTCTTATCTGAGATTCCTTATGGAACAAAGTTTCATCAAAGCCAATTTAAAAAGGAGCCTAAATGGTAAATAGTTATTCTTGCTGTGTGTTATGCAGATAATCAAGCCAAGTATAATAAGGCTAAAGCTTATTTTGCAAACAAATGAGTCCTATCATGATTTATTTGTAATAAAAATGAGGACTGTAGGGGGAAAAATGATGTTTCAAGAACTGTGGTACACCTGTTATTAGAGTCTAGTCTCCACAGTAGTTTTTGTATTTTCATCTGCAGTTTACACTAACCCTGCCTATTCCATGAACCAACCAGTGATCTCTGGCTACAGCTCAGAAGAAACTAGAGAGATGGACCTTCAAGCTCCAAATTATCCTCAGTGAGGATACCATCTTCTAAATACTCAGGAGTCACCCTTCTATAGAAGACCACTAGGCTGCCCATCAGTAGAACACAACAAAGGAAAAATCCTGTTTGTGTTTCCCTTGGACCTACCTGGATAGCACTTTCACCAAACCACAGAGCCACTCTGCCCTGACAGTTATCAAGAGGCCAAAACCCACAGGACAACTTTCACCACCCCTCTCTCAGTAGGAAGCAGTTATAGACGCCTGATCTTTGTCCATTTTCCCCAAGAACTGGGTCTTGGAGTATTGAGGGGGAATGTTAGAGTAGGTAGTTAGTCAGACATGAGCAGGGCATGAAAGTGGCTCATTCTCCCCAGGAATATCAGGTGACCATCAGGTGATGGTCAAGCAGTTGTTAACCTGTCTCTCTAAAATAATTGGTTGCAACGGGTGCCAGAGAAAGGCCATCTCCCAATACAAACACGTGAAATCGGTAAAGACAGCCTTACTGTCCATCAATACTGGATTGCAGACTTTTTTTTATATTTTGTCTTAGGTTCAGGGTTCAGGTGCAGGTTTGTAAATTGCACGTCATGGGGGTTTGGTGTAGAGATTATTTTGTCACCCAGGTACCAATCACTTGAATAGAGAGTCCCTTCCCCAGTGCTTGTTTTTATTAATTGTGAGAAATCAGATTATTGTAGTTGTGCAGCATTACTTCTGGGCTCTCTGTTCTGTTCCATTGATCCATGTGTCTGTTTTTGTACAAGTGTCATGCTGTTTTTGTTACTGTAGCTTTTCAATATAGTTTGAAGTTGTGTAATGTAATGCCTCCACATTTGTTCTGCCTGTCCGTTAGAGTCTTTCTTGGTTCCTTGTAAATTTTAACATAGTGTTTTTTTCTAGTTCTATGAAGAATGTCATTGATAGTTTGATTGAATATCATTAAGTCTGTAAATTGCTTTGGGCAGTATGGCCATTTTAACAATATCAATTCTTCTTATCCATGAGCATGGAATGGTTTTCCATTTGTTTTTCTTGTCTCTGATTTCCTTTGAGCAGTGTTTTGTAATTCTTATGGTAGAGATATTTCCCCTTCGTGGTTATCTGTATTCCTAGATATGATGCTCATTTACCATTCCAACAATCCTAGGGCACACACACATACACACAGGTACACACATATACATGGAGGCATGCACACAGACACACATTCACACACACAGGCACACACTTGCATACACATACACACTAGCACACACACACACATATACACACAGGCACACACACATACACATTACAGCATCTATTTTTGGCTAACAATAATAAATGAGTCCATAACACCCAACCTTTCCAGTTTCCAACCAGCTGAGGCCTGCAGATCATTTATGATGCCTTTTTCCTTCATTCCCAAGTACTTTTTCCACATTGATGCCACAGGCATTTATTGAGTGCCCCCTGTGTGCTTGACTTCTAAGCCTAGAAGTGACTAAAGTCAATGCGCCGGTATCTCATGCAGGGGGTTATACAAGGCTGTGCCCTGCTCAGCAGCAGCAGAACCTCTGTGGGAGGTCTGAGAGGGAGGAACACTGCAGCCAGATCCAGGACATATCACAGCGAGAGCAGCTGGGTGCAGAAGCCCAAGAGCCGCTCCCACGCATGTGACCAGCTGGTTTCACCCATGGCACAGACCTTATCTCACCAAGCTGGCATTGCCTGTGGGCAAAGTCAGGACCACAGCAAGTGCACATTGTCCCTCAAATTTCAAAGAGGTAGTGGATTAATGACTCAATCTGAAAGTCTGTGCTTGTGAGCTTCCCAGAAAACAAACTTGCAGGACAAAAGAACCCACAGTGCACACTGGACCTGCTTCCTGTTCCTGCAATGCCCCAGGTGAAAACACAGAGTGTTGGGGAGGTTTTTATTTCACTTCCCACCTTTTTTACTGTATGAAATTTAATCACACATGTATTAATTTTATTTTTGTCAGCCAGGAAATTATGGGACATTCTGTTCTGTTCTCTTTAGCTCTGTTCTGTAGTTAACAACAGTAATAAAAGGTGGACATAACATATGTGAGACTTATGCTTAACTTATGCTTAAGTTTTCACAATGGATGAGATGGACAATTATGCCATTGAAAAGAAGGTGGTTCTGTCTGACAGCTGTTACCTGGTGATCTCTCATGTAATAGTTCTACCAAGACTGAGCACATTGGTCTCTGTCATTTTTGGGGCAATCCCTCCAAAGTAACCCCAAAGCTGCTCTTACTTTACCGTAACCATAGTGTGCCACTTCAAATTCCCTGCTGTGAACTGCAAATGGGCATGTAATGCATTTGGTGAGAAGCATGAAATAAATCAAACTATTTTACCCCAAATAGGGCTCCTTAGTATAATGGATATTTTAATTTTAAAACCCTCAGAGATCAACAACCAATGGAAGAGTCTATTTCCCCTGTCCACATATAGCTAGAACCTGACCCACGAAGGAGAGTAAATATTCTTGCTCCCCTCTTGTTATCTCATGACTCAGTACAGAAAAGAAGGTTAAGACTATAACGAGGCCTTAACAGAACCTTTTCAAAATAATGACTGGCTCCAAGGATCAGTAAATCCCAAGGAAAACTATTTACCAGTTAATTACTGTTGCCTGAAACAGTCATTCTCCCTAGTAATCATTTATTTTCTCCCCAAATAATTGCTCCTTTCCAATCTAAAACAAGCTGTTTTACCAGAATTCAGGCCCCCATTTTTTCTGTAACCTCCAGATGGGATACAGGCTTCTGCAACTCATTGAGAAGCTGAGTCTTCATCCTGAAGGCTCCCGTGTATACACAATAAATAAATTTGTGTGCCTGTTTTCCTATTAGTCAATCTGCCTTACATCACCTGATTTTCAGTGAAACTTTAGAGGGCCAAGAGCCTTGGACCCCACAAGCACAATTCAGTCTCCATTGTGACTTTATGCCTCCTAAGCCATCCTTCCTCATTATCTAATTTTTGGTATCACAGTGGCCTCTTACATGATAAAAGATTTAGTTGGTTGATATTCTCTGTCAAATACTTCCAGCCCCAGCAATCTCACAGCAGAGGTGCCACCAAGTATTCATGTTGGTTTCCATTTACTTGCAGAACCTTGGCCATTCTGATGTTTAACCAAGAGTTGAGCTGAGTGGCTCTGACCAGCGTGGAAGATGAGAGCAGCCTGAACTTACACTGTGAAAATGTAAGAAATACATAATAATAAGAGTACTTATATAGAAGAGTTGTTAAGAAATTAAATTTTAAAAGTATATAAAATGCTTAAAATACACAGAAAGCACTGGATATCAGTTAGGTAACAATAATAATAACAATAATACTAAATATCATCTACCCACAAAATTATCAACCTCTGAATCCTCATAGTCATGAGCTTGTCATGTCACTTTCATGCAAAAAAAGATCTCTGTGACTTTGAGAGGGGCAAGTTACAGACAGAGAAATGGAAGCTCAGACAAACACTTCCAGGCACCCACTGCCTACCAGGTGCAGGGCTCCTGCCTGCTGGCCACCCTGCAAGGACAGCTGATCTAGGACCCTTCAGACCCCAGGATCCACTTCCATCTTCAGGAGCATAAGTGCCAAATCCCAGCACCCAGACGAAGTGTCCACCATTCAGCCTCACGGAATGGCTGTGCTTCAGATCCGTCATCAGTCCCAGCTAATCTGACCGTCTTTCCTCCTTTTCCTCTGTGAGATCCCAGTAGAAGAAAAGGCTCCCGCGTTCTTTATTTCCACCAACCTCAATATGTGAAGAGCTCATATTACAACTGTCAGTGATTCCAAATGAAGCTGGAATTGATCTATTGCCTTTTTTTCAATTGCTTCCTATCTGTGCAGGTGTATCTTACAGGAACATACAGAAATGGTATGCTGAGAGAGGAGTTTGAATGATCTTCTAGGCATTGTTCACTCTTGACACTTAAGTTGAAGTATTAAATATTCCAACCTGTCTTTGATAAGGATATAGGACTTACTTTAGAAGATACAACCTGATTATTAAATTGGTCATTTCTAGACATTGATTCTACAAGAAGACCTCAGTTAAGTCTCACACCATCCATTTTATCACAAATCGCATCACAAACAGCGTATTGAGAATTCCCTGAACAAAGCTAGATGCCTGGTCCCAGGCACACATGTAATGAGATTCCTTGGAAGCACCCATTTCTACCTTCATTATAATGAAATTCTCCTGTATCAAGGCCTCATTTCATTTTGTGACTGTCTTTGCCTTTTCTTTGAATCTTCTTGGCACAAAAAGCCTGGTCTGAGATCATGAGTACATCTCTGTGTTCTTGCTTTTTTCCAGCTATTTCCTCTTTCTAGGACAGCCTGCTTGGTTTGCACCTTGTTTCCAGCGGGTTTCTGATGTCTTACTTATCCTAAATACACCCGATCCAGCCACACGTTTCAGGAGTCCTTTTATGACCCCCTGGATAATGTTGGCCACCCTTTCCTGTGTGCCCTTCATTTTTATTGCTTCTACTATGCAAGTCAAAGAACAACATTAGCAAAAGTTCATTCTCAAGTAATAAGGATCTTTGGCTGGATAAAATCACTAAGTGGTGTTTTGTTATCGTTATGCTGTGCTTTGCCCAACCTGTGTTTGGCCAAACATTGATAAGATGAATTGCCTTGTTGAAAATGCCCACATGGAGAGGAACTGAGTGTGGCTTACGGCCATCAGCCAGCTAGAAACTGAGGCCTTCACTCTAGTAACCCAGAAGGCACTCGATCCTGCCAGTCACCCATGACCTTAGAAGCAGCTTATTCCCCATCGAGCCTTCAGGGAGACCCTGCTTTTGGATTATGCCTTCATTGCAGCCCATTGAGGATCCAAACAGAGGCACCAGCTGAGTTCTGCTTGGCTACACAAAAATCGCTACAACCTTTGCAGCTTGAAGCCAACACAAGGGGAGACTGCAAATGGCAATTATAATACAGCATGGAACCCAAGGAGACAGAAGGCCACATGCAATCCTGGAAGATGGGGTAGAAGGAGTGTCAGAAAAGGTTTTGCAATGGCATCTGAGTGGAGTATTCAAGAATTATATGAAAGTGTATTTCGTTCAATAATAAATATTCTATAGGCACTAGAAACAAGCAGAAAAAAAATCTAAGCCCTCATGGGTCTCACTTTCCAGGAGAGAGAATCAGACAAGAAACTAATAAATACATAGAATGAAGATCATGTCACATGATGAGAAGTACCGTGAAGGGGAAGAAAGCAAGGACAGGGGTAGAGTACAAACGGAGTGAGGGACAAATGAAATTATGAATAGCATAAGCCGGGAATCTTCACTGAGACAGAGACAATTGAGAAAAGACCTGAAAGAGTAGAGGAAGCAAGCCTTGCTGACAGCTGAGGGAAGAGGGCTTCAGGCAGAGGGATCCTGAAGGGCACACTCCCTGCAGCAAGGGCAGGCCAGGCTTGTTCTGGGAACAGCAGGATTAGGAGAAAGGTCAGAAAGGAACGGAGGGCCACGTTTATACAGAGCCCTGTAGGCCATTTGCAAGGATTTGGCTTTTACTCTAGGACAGATGAGGAGACACTGGATGATACTGAGCTGCTGTGGAGAGAGTAAAATATAAGTTGATGAAAAATAAATATGGAAAACTGGTTAGGAGGCTATTTGAATAACCAAGGCAAGGAATGGCATGACTTGGAACAAGATAGTTGAAGAACAGCTGATGAGAAATGGTCAGATTCTGGATATATTTTTAAGGTGGACATGGCAGGGCTTGATCACAGATTTTATATTGGAGAGGAAAGTATTATTTTAAAAAAAGCAAGAATGACTTGGCAAACTTTAGTATTTATGACTGGAAAATGGAGTTTTTGTTTTATTGAAATTGGGGAAATTGATGTGGGGCAGGATTGCAGGGTGGTTAAGGGTATTTTGCCTGGGATATCCTGAGCTTGAGATTCCTATTGGGCCCTGGAGTGGAGATGTTCAGTAGAAAATTTGATATTCCAGTCTGAGTTTCTGGGAAAAGAATTGAGCTGCAGTTATTAATTTGGGATTGTAAGCCTATTGACAATATTTAAAGCTGTTGAAATGTCTAGGATTATCAGAGGAGTCTGACTTCCTGAAGATAGGGAAGAATCTAAGGACTATGGGACACCCCAATAATTAAAAGTGATGAAAATGAGGAGCAGTCAGTGAAGAAGTCAGATACGGAAAAGAAGGAGGAAGACAGAGAGTGTGATGTCATAGAAACCAACTTAAGAAAGTCATTTTAGAATGATGGGCCAGGCGCAGTGGCTCACACTTGTACTCCCAGCACTTTGAGAGGCCCAGGCAGACAGATTACCTGATGTCAGGAGTGAGACAATCCTGGTCAACATGGTGAAACCCTGTCTGTACTAAAAACATAAAAATTAGCTGGGCGTGGTGGTGCGTGCCTGTAATCCCAGGTACTCAGATGGCTGAGGCATGAGCATGATTTTGTGTCCGGAATTGGTGGGTTCTTGGTCTCACTGACTTCAAGAATGAAGCCGCGGATGCTTGCAGTGAGTGTTATAGTTCTTAAAGGTGGCATGTCTGGAGTTTGTTCCTTCTGATGTTCAGATGTGTTTGGAGTTTCTTCCTTCTGGTGGGGTTCATGGTCTCGCTGGCTTAGGAGTGAAGGTGCGGACCTTCGCGGTGAGTGTTACAGCTCTTAAGGCAGCGCGTCTGGAGTTGTTCGTTCCTCCTGGTGGGTTTGTGGTCTCGCTGGCTTCAGGAGTGAAACTGCAGACCTTCACAGTGAGTGTTACAGCTCATAAAGGCAGTGTGGACCCGAAGAGTGAGCAGCAGCAAGATTTATTGCAAAGAGCGAAAGAACAAAGCTTCCACAGTGTGGAAGGGGACCCGAGCGGGTTTCCACTGCTGGCTTGGGCAGCCTGCTTTTATTCTCTTATCTGGCCCCACCCACATCCTGCTGATTGGTCCATTTTACAGAGAGCCGAGTGGTCTGTTTTGACAGGGCGTTGATTGGTGCGTTTACAATCCCTGAGCCAGACACAAAGGTTCTCCACATCCCCACTAGATTAGCTAGATACAGAGTGTCGATTGGTGCATTCACAAACCCTGAGCTAGACACAGGGTGCTGATTGGTGTGTTTACAAACCTTGAGCTAGATACAGAGTGCCGATTGGTGTATTTACAATCCCTTAGCTAGACATAAAGGTTCTCCAAGTCCCCACCAGACTCAGGAGCCCAGCTGGCTTCGCTCAGTGGATCCCGCACCAGGGCCGCAGGTGGAGCTGCCTGCCAGTCCAGCCCCATGCGCTGGCACTCCTTAGCCATTGGGTGGTCCATGGGACTGGGTACCGTGGAGCAGGGGACAGCACTCGTCGGGAGGCTCCAGCCACGCAGGAGCCCACAGCGGGGACGGGAGGCTCAGGCATGGCGGGCTGCAGGTCCTGAGCCCTGCCCCGCAGGAAGGCAGCTAAGGCCCGGCGAGAAGTGGAGCACAGCAGCTGCTGGCCCAGGTGCTAAGACCCTCACTGCCCGGGGCTTGCGGGCCGGGGGGCAGCTCCGAGTGTGAGCCACGGAGCCCACACCTACCCGGAACTCATGCTGGCCTGCAAGCGCTGTGCGCAGCCCCGGTTCCCGCCTGCACCTCTCCCTCCACACCTCCCTGCAAGCTGAGGGAGCCAGCTTCAGCCTTGGCCAGCCCAGAAAGGGGCTCCCACAGTGCAGCAGTGGGCTGAAGGGCTCCTCAAGTGCCGCCAAAGTGGGAGCCCAGGCAGAGGAGGCACCCAGAGCAAGTGAGGGCTGCGAGGGCTGCCAGTGCGCTGTCAGCTCTCAATTTGAACCTGGGAAGTGGAGGTTGTAGGGAGCTGAGGTCGCACCACTGCACTCCAGCTCCAGCCCAGGTGATGAAGTGAAACTCTGTGTCCAAAGAAAAAAAAAAGAATGATAAAGGACCAATAGTGATAGATTGTTAGATACTGCTGATAGATTAAACAAGTCAAGGACTGAGATTAACTCTTATTTTAGCAATGTGGTAGTCATTGGTGACTTTATAAGAACATTTTTAGCAGGACAATGAGGGCAGAAAAAAAACCTCAGTGACATAAGTTTAAGAGATGGTGGGAAGGAGATGAATGATTAGAGCTTGGGTTGCAATATCTATGAGCGTATTGAAAACACCAGGAAGGATGGCAGAAGTAGGACTGCACAATGTAACTCAAACACAGGAAAAAATCTCTAAGGAATCAGAGCAAGTGAGGTAGAAGGCAGGTGATTGCCACAAGGAAAGGTAGTTTGAAAAATGGGTGTTTCTAGGGAGCAGGAGGGGGACTGGGTAGATGAGGCAGTGAGGAGAAAGGAGGATGTCTGTCCTCCCTCCATGCTCCCTGGGAGGACAGTGGGAGAGGACCCACACCTCCCCTTAGGAGCACTGCAGGAGAAACAGAATCCTCATGGAAACTAGAAGTTTGGGTTAGAAAAACAGGGGAGGGAACAGAAGCTGATAATATTAACATAAAGTGAGAATTTTGAATTTTCTAATGGGAAGTTACAGGTTCTAGAAGGACCATCAGAAGGGTTTTAGAATTAAGGAAAGTGTGAGAAAAAGTCAGAAAACTGGAGGTAAGAGCTCTAGGGAATGAGAGTTCAGTTCAGAACTGGAGTCCTGGGCTCTTTTGATGACTGAAATAAAAGTGGGAGAGAGCCTAAGGAAATTACCCTGGGGACATCATGGTGCCTTGTGGTGCTGAGGCTGTGAGCTTTGAAGTGGGCAGCTGAGGGCTTGGAGGCTTCTGAGAAACATTCAGACCTCCAGGACCCTCTCTTGAATTCTGACCCTGAAGAAGAGGTGTCCAAAGAGCGATAGACTCACCAAGACAGTGAAACTCGCTCTATTTAAGTCAGAGTCATCTGGAGAATGGATAGAATGGAGGACTTACGCATCTCTTTCAATAAAGTATGTTTCTTCTAAGTGTAACAGACATCATCATGCAAAGTAGGTTTAGGGTGAATGCCATGTCGCCTCTATTTTTCTCTTGCAACTTGGATATATCAGAATGAAAGCTGACAGAAAGAAGCAAGAAGTCAGGAGCTCACGTTCTGTGTTCTTCCCCGCGGAGATGAGGGCTCCTGATGAGTGATCAAACGCTAGAAGGGGGTGAAGAGTACCACATTATTACCAATGCCCAGGACAGATGCCAAGCTGGGCAGTGATGGCGTGCAGAAAAGCCTCAGGGGAAAGACACAGCAGAAGGGGAGAGGGAGCATTTCTGTCTTTGATTCCACACCTGGGAAGGAAGCAGAGTCAGGATTAGTGAACAATATTCAGAATTATGCTTAGTTGGATCCCTTCATGTAAGTTCTGAGAAACTGCTGGGTGATGCCCAGGCTGAAATATGTGCTGAGATCAGCAGCCTTCCCTTGAGCAAAGTAAAGGATTTTGTTTTTAACAACAAAACACATTTCTTGTGTACCCTGAGTGTTTCCCAGAGACTCTCATGACCTAGTGCTTACTATGGAGGAATGTTTTCATTCAGATGAAGGAAAGCTTTCCATCAATGCAAGCATTGTGACAAGTTGATAGCCATTGCAACCCAGCTGTCCCTCAGAATGAGTGTGTTCACTGGAGGAGGTGACAACATCTTCATCATATTAATGAAAGCAAATGTCTAGGTTTTTTAGCAAAAGCACGAACTCTGAAAGAAAGCATAGTTACACATTAACCAGCTTGCCCTGTAGCCCACTTCCATGTAACTTCTTACACTTTGGAATCATGTAGTCCCTATCACAAGGTCCTAACCTCATAGATAACATCTCAAACAGTAGGAAATCTCACGTTTTCCACTCGAGATATTTTCTGCATCATGCATTATAACAGTTCTACAGATGCCATCCAATCTACAGCCCCCTCCGAGGAACTGACTCAGCCCCACAATGCAGTTACCACATCCTTAGGCTTTCATAGTCCACACCCTGGCCAGTCAGCACCCCGCCCTGCTCCTCAGCCCCCTGCCTGCCAAAATTCCCTTGAAACCCCTGTCTAAAACTCCTCAGGGCAGTGAATTCGAAGTTTCCTCCTATCTCCTCATTTGTTTGCCTTCAAGTATTAAATCCCTTCTCTGCTCAACAGCCGCTATTTCTGTGTGTTGATCAGTTACTGTACAATGAGCACAAACACGGGGATCTTGTACAGAGGCTTGTCCTGTCAGGTTTCCACTGGAAAGCTGCCATAAGCCCAAGGAGAAAGTGAGGCACAGACAGCGTCTTCCTCAACTTCCTTCCAGAGGATCGCACTACACACCCAACAGCAGGCTCTCAGAAGTCTTAACATATAAAAACGTAGTAGATAGGTAAATAGACTTGCAGAAGGATAGGTTTTCCTCCCCTCAATTCTTAACATATTCACCCTCACTCATGCACATTCTCATGTACAGTTTCCCAGTTACCCTCCCTAATCAGATGCTCTTACCAAACTGTGTCCTGTGTCCGGCTGTGTGCAGTTGGGGGTGAAGGGAAGGGAGGAAGGAAAGACAAGAGACTTGGCCCTGATGGTCCTCAGTCGTGGGGAGACCAATCTTAGGCCATGCACTATTCCTTCATTGCCATTGTCAGGGCCATGTTTGCTACTTCTGGGACTGGGTTTTATTACTTTCCTTCACCTTTTCTGCTTTGCATGGGAAATGCAGATACCCATGTAGGCACAAAAGGGCATTTTCTTCCCTCTCTCTTCTGAAGTTTTGATAATTAGAGTGTATAAAACAAACTGACAAGTGAAAGGTTAATATAAAAAGACAGCAAATTTGTATATATGTACATGGACATCAGATTCCTGCCAATAAGAGACTCCAGGGTGGTCCTGATGACAGAGGGTTTCATCACATCCTGAGGCTACAGAGAGAACAGGGGCTTGGGGTCTCTGGGGGAGGTGGAGTCTCAGGTAATGGGGGAGTGGAAGAGGCACACATGGTGAGCCAAGGCTGTCCCCACATAGATGTGAGCCTCTCAGGGGCTCGCCAAGCTGACCTCAAGAAGGTAGGTGGCGGCCTGTGGAGAAGCTTCTCAGTCAGACCTTTAAAGTGTCAGGATCTTAGTCTGTTTTTCCTGGAAGTTAATCTTTCCTTGATCCAATAAGGCATATAAAGGGGTCCTCAGAGAAAGGCTTTTACCCTCTGTTCACTTCACTAATGTACATTTCCTCAGCACTTACAAATCTCTGCGAGAGAAGAAAGCTTTTCAGGTCTATTTGTGTGTCAGCAGCCTCTCTGAATTGTGACCCCTCTGAATAGCCACATAAAATATGCCAAAAAAGTACATTTTGAGTGGCACATTTTGCTTTCCTTCGCCCTGTATAACACGTCTTAAAAACAAGAGTGTACCATGAGGTCCACAGCCGGTGGCCCCACTCCTGCCTCCTGAACAAAAGCTTCAACAAAAGGGATAATTTAAAAATGAGCAGCTCTATTTCATGGGCCACTTTCCAACCACCTGGCACTAAAGTAAAAGACCGGTGCAACTCAGAACAGGTACAATGATCCAGGCTTGTGACTGGCAGGTCTAGAATGCCATAGAAGTCCCCTAGTCACTGTGAGTCAGCAAGATTTTCCAGAGAAGGAGGTTGGAGATAACACTATGGAATCACTTTTAGAGGATCACGCCTGGTGGATGTGAGTGCCTTATTGAGGGGTGGGGTAGAGCAGACTTTTCTGACACGTGAAAGCAAATGGGCCTGCTCCACCCTTCAGTGCAAACCAGCCATCTGAAGCTGCTCTTATTTAATCATAGGGAAACAGTCACTTGCTTCAGTAGAAAACATTTTCAACTTACTCTACTATCGCATAAAGCAAAGGCATACAGTTGAAACCACTTGTGCTTTTAACATTTCTGGACCCTCCTATACCTATGAATAAATTTAAATGACTTGCTTATTCCAAATGAAATCCCTATGTTATTTAGGAAACATGTTTAGGAAAATACTGGACTGGAGAGAAAAACAACTCACAAAGAGTCCTGTACTCTTCCGGTGACCTACTTCACATTTAGAAGTTTGGTTAGTTTTTATGCCAGTCAAAACATCCTGCCATGTAACTATGGAGCATGTTCAGTAAAATCAAATGTTTTGCCCACACAGACAATAAAAATGAACTTTAATGTTTTTTGCCTTGGTCTTCAAAAATGCACCCAAAGGAGAAACACTGCATTTCCCAAACAGGACAAAGTGATTTGGTGCCAATCTCTTAAGAATGAAGAATGAAGTGTTTAGCTAGTTTGAGAGTCAAGAAAAATTGAGAAATGCAGAACTCAAGTTTCACACTAGAATATCGTTGTTACAAGTAACAGGAGGAAAGAAAAACCCATAGTCTTGGCATTACCCATCATTTTTTAGGGAATTTTCTATACCTTCTCTGTATATTGATTTTTCAACCTTGGATGCCAAGAAGGTATAAAATCCCATGTCCAGGCATCAGTACACACCCTCTTCTCTCAATGAGAGAAAAATACCTAGGACTTGTGGGGATACAAGGAACCCTTTGGCCAAGTGATTAGTCTTTGGTCCTTAACACTCAGCCTAGTACATTTTGGGCTGGGAGAGGGGAGGTGGAAAAATGGGGAATATTAACCTCACGACTAAACAAACACTAATGTTCCTTAGTGGAAAAAAGGTTATCCTGTTGAACCAGCAAAATGACTAGAGGTTTCTGCAAACGGCTAGAGGTTTCTGCAGACATTCTAGTTCATCAAAATATTTTAATTAATTTTAATAATCTTAGCGAGGTGCTAAAAGAGGGACCCTAATGGGATGTGAGACAAACACAAAGAGATTTTAGTTTTATGAAAAGCAAACTCTATGACTTCACAAACTAGATTTTGTATTAAGGTCGCAATGTAGCCAAGTAATTCTGGGCATGACTGTTTAAAACAGGAATGTGAAACCAGAGAAAGGCAGCCCTCCTTTGGCTGGGCGATGGCATAGCAGACCAGGAACTTTCCCCCACATGGTGCTCTATACAGGACAGGGGTGAATCAGCTCAGCTACACCATGTGCCTTAGAGACTCTGAACATGAGACATGTGGAAAAAGACCCTAAAAAATAATTACAGGCAGAATGCAGGAAAAACAGCCAGATGGCCAGGCATGGTGGCTCATACCAGTAATTCCAGCACTTTGGGAGGCTGAGCCAGGAGGATCTCTTCAGCTCAGACCAATCTGGAAAACACCTTGAGAACTCATCTCTGCTAAAAAGAAAAAATTTTAAAAATTAGCTGGGTGTAGTGGCACCTGTCTGTAGTCTCAGCTACTTGGGAGGCTGAAGTAGAAGGATTGCTTGAACCCAGGAGGTCAAGGCTGCAGGGCATTGTGATTGCACCATTGCACTTAAATCTTGGCAAAATTTTTTACAGTGGCAACACAGGTTATGGGATGGAGAGAAGAACAAGCCTGGCTAGCAAAAGAGGTTTCATTATTTAGATGAAATCTCCCAGGAAGCAGCCCTCAGAGAGAACAGCTGAGAAATGTTTTTCTTTAGACCTTTAAAGGTATCAGATTCTCAGTTAATCTTTCTTCTATCCAAGGGAGATTCTCAGAGAAAGCCCAGCTGTAACAATGCAAATTTTCTCTACAGATGCAAGTATTTCCCACTAAAGACAGCTTTTTGTCCCTTCTAATATTTCCTGCTTTTCTGAATAGCTGTCTTGAAATGTGTCAAATAAATGTATTTTAGTGTAAAATGTTTTGGTTCCCTTGAAGCTCAACTTTGAGTCCAACTAAGACAAGAGGGGATTTATAACCATAGAGCACGGTGAGGTCAGAGGAGAAAAATTACTAAGAGAAAGCACCCAGAGATGAGGGTGGCAGCAGCAAGGCAGAAATTCTGGAATACCAAATGATATGGTTTGGCTCTGTGTCCCCACTGAAAAATCATGTCAAATTGTAATTCCCAGTGTTGGAGGAGGGGCCTAGTGGGAAGAGATTGAATCACGGGGGCTGACTTTCCTCTTACTGTTGTCATAATAGAATTCTCATAAGATCTGGTTGTTTGAAAGCATGTAGCACCTCCACCTTCTTTCTCTCTCTCTCTCTGCCTCTCTCTCTCTCTCTCTCTCTACCTCCCCCTCTCCTGCCAGCCAAG
This sequence comes from Homo sapiens, assembly GCF_000001405.40. NCBI lineage: Eukaryota > Metazoa > Chordata > Mammalia > Primates > Hominidae > Homo > Homo sapiens. The sequence goes on from NC_000010.11 coordinate 4,944,235, forward strand.
TGAAGACATGCTTGCTTCCCCTTCACCTTCCTCCATCATGGTAAGTTTCCTGAGGCCTCCCCTGCCATGCCTCCTGTGCAGCCTGCAGAACTGTGAGTCAATTAAACCTCTTTTCTTTGTAAATTACCCAGTCTCAGGTAGTTCTTTATAGTAGTGGGAGAATAAACTAATACCGAAAATTGGTACCAAATAGTGAGGCATTGATATAAAGATACCTGAAAATGTCAAAGCAAATTTGGAACTGGATAGTAGGCAGAGACTGGAAGAGTTTGGAGGGTTCAGAAGAAGATGGAAAGATGAAGGAAGGTTTTAAACTTCCTAGAGAATTGGATACTTCTGTAGAAAATGCTGATAGTGATATGGACAATGAAGTTCAGGCTGAGGATTTCTCAGATGGAGATGAGAAACTTATTGGGAACTGGAGTAAAGGTCACTCTTCCTGTGCTTTAGCAAAAAGATTGGCATCATCATGTCCCTACCCTAGAGATCTGTGGAACTTTGAACTTGAGCAAGATGATTTAGGGTACCTGACTGAAGAAATTTCTAAGTGTCAAAGGAAGCAAGATGTGTCCTGCCTGCCTCTAACAGCATATTCTCATATGCATGCCCAAAGAGATTATCTGACACTGGAAGTTACATTTAAAAGGGAAGCAGAACATAAAAGTTTGAATAACTTGAGCCCCACCATGTAGTAGAAAAGAAAAACTCATTTTCTGAGGAAGAATTCAAGCCAGCTGCAGAAATTTGCAAGATAAAGAAGAGCCAAATGTTAATAGACAAGACAATGGGGAAAATGCCTCCAGGATATTTCAAAGACCTTCAAGGTAGCCCCTTTTATCACAGACCTGGAGGTTTAGGAGAGAAAAATAATTTCATGGGCCAAGCCCAGGGCCCTACTGCTCTGTGAAGCCTTGGGACACGGCACCCTGCATACCAGCCACTTCAGCCCCAGCCATGGCTAAAAGGGCCTCAGACACATCTTGAGCTATTGTTTTAGAGGATGCTAGCCCCAGTGTGTTGTGACTTCCATGTAGTGTTAAGCCTGCAGGTTCTCAGAGTCCAAAAGTTGAGGTTTGGGAGCCTCTGCCTAGATTTCAGAGAACGTTTAAAAATGCATGAATATCCAGGAAGAAGGCTGCTGTGAAGATGGAACCCTTATGAAGCACCTCTGCTAGGGCAATGTGGAAGGGAAATATGGGGTTTGAGTTCCCACACAGAGTTCCCACTGGGGCACTGCCTAGTGGAGCTATGAGAAGAGGGCCACCATCCTCCAGAACCCAGAATGGTATATCCACTGAAGGCTTGTACTGTGTGCCTGGAAAAGCGGCAGACACTCAGTGCCAGCCAGTGAAAGCAGCCATGGGGCCTTTACCCTGTATAGCCACAGGGGTAGAGCTGCCCAGGACCCTGGGAGCCCACCTCTTGCATTAGTGTGGCCTTGATATGAGACATGGAGTCAAAAGAGATTATTTTGGAGCTTTGAAATTTATTGACTGCCTTTCCGGGTTTTGGACTTCTATGGGGCCTGTAGCCCCTTTGTTTGGGCCAGTTTCTCCCTTTTGGAACAGAAGCATTTATTCAGTACCCATACCCGTATTGTGTCTAGGAAGTAACTGACTTAGTTTTGATTTTATGGCTTATAGTTGAAAGGGACTTGCCTTGTCTCAGATGAGACTTTAGAATTGGACTTTTGATCTAATGTTGTAATAAGTTAAGACTTTCAGGGACTGTTAGGAAGGCATAATTGTCTTTTGAAATGTGAGAAGAATGTGAGATTTGGAAGGGGCTGGGGCGGAGTGATATGGTTTGGCTCTGTGTCCCTACCCAAATCACATGTGAAATTGTAGTTCCCACTGTTGGAAGAGGGGCCTGGTGGGAGGTGACTGAATCATGGAGGCTGACTTCTCTCTTGCTGTTCTCATCATATGGTTCTCATGAGATCTAGTTGTTTGAAAGTGTGTAGCACCTCCCTCTTCTCTATTTCTCTCCCTCCCTCTCTCTCTCTCTCTCTCCCCTGCCAGCAATGTGAATATGTGCTTGCTTCCCCTTTGCCTTCCTCCATGATTGTAAGTTTCCTGAGGCCTCCACAGCCATGCTTTCTGTACAGCCTGTGGAACTGTAAGTCAATTAAGCCTCTTTTCTTTGTAAATTACCCAGTCTCAGGTAGTTCTTTATAGCAGTGTGAGAATGCACTAATGCACAAGAATACAGTCACAGCAAAGTTTCCCTACTCTCATATTTCCTCAGTACTAATCAAATATGCCCATGCTCTGCTCTTGGCCCTCTATGGGAAGGTGGGGTTTTCAATGCCTTACATCATCTGGGGACCCAAGGCTGGAACTGCTCCCTCAGTGAATCACTGGGGGTGGAATTGAGATAGATAGGGGGTCCATATGCTTAGGACAGTGGATGTAATTGGGCTGTACCAATGAGGAGTCTGTGTAAGGGAGGGAAGTTCTGTGTCTACAGAAAACAGGGGAAAGTTATGTTACTACAGGTAGAAATTATGAGCCCCTGGGGACATCCAATATCAATCTTCTTTTACCTAATTTGGTACATAACTGTCAAGTATGTTTTCCTTTATACTGGAGAATAATGTTAAAAATGAAATCTCCTGCCAATCTAAAAAACTCCTCCATAAAAATGTAGAAAAGAAAGAAAATAATTTTCTTATTCAAAAGGCATTAAACCACACTGCAATGTGCACCACAGGTAAGGTCTAATGAGATTAAAAGGCAGAAATGAATCTGACCTCTTTAAAAAGCCAAGGAGTACAGCCTTTACACACATCTTCTCATGATAAATGATAACTGGTCCTCACATAAGAAGGCCTAACAACACTGTTTTTTGATAACATTCTTTCATGGCTTCATCCCAAATTCACCTGGTAATTGGGTTAGCCATCTGTGCTAGTCAATCACCTGTATCACTAGGAAAAATGACATTTCTCCATGACAAGCAGGCAGTTGTAGCTTGGAGCAAGGGACCCAGGGAGATAGGAATTTTCCTTTTTTAATGTTTACATTTCCAAAGAGCTGGCTCTCTTACCCTTAACAAAACACTCACATGTTGCAATTCTGGTAAGAGGCTTAGTTGGCTTTTAAAAATATTTACATGAATATCAAAGGGACTGAGGTAGGATTTACAAATACAATTTTTTCTCAAGGAAATAATCTAAGAAATGGGCAGAGAAGAAAAGTCTCTATCCTTGTTGGCAATAGAAAAAACTCAGTTTTAACAATTGACCCTTAGAGAAGTCTAGAAACTTGAACATCAAGCAAACATGATTTCTAAACAGAAGTCTTTAAGAAACATAATTACAGTTACATGATCTCCTTTATGAAGTGGATATTGACCTGATATTTTAATGATCAAATATAAGTGCTTATTTTGACTTATGCCAGAATTTGCTATGAAATTAATCATATTTTTAAACCTCTAATACTTAGCTTGCTGCTCAGTACTAGAAGCCAGAGGTAAGTGTCATATTAGTCAGCCTTCATTCTCACCTGACTGTAGATACTAACTATGAAAGCTAGAAAAAATTTCTGCTATTGCTAAAGTCGAACATAAACAAGGTTGAACACTGGTTAAAATGGTGACGATGGATTTTATTAGTAATCCAGTGTTGTAATAGGGAAGAGGTCCAGTATGGACTGAACTGAACTTTGATTCATACAAGGTGACTCACCATTTTAAGGGAGAACGGGTGAGAGGGAAAGGCTGAGCAGGGACTGAGTGGAATCAGCAAAGTGGAAAATTTCAAAAAACAGAAAGGGGCTGGTTGGCCAATGTGATTATTCCCTCTGGGTTTGCAAACAAGAGCTAATGGAAGTTGGGCTCCTGCCCTGACATGAGGATTCAAAGAATAGTGGCCTGTTTTCAGATCTTTAAACTATTTTATGATCTTTCCGTTGAAACTTTTTGTCAGTGTTAAGGGAAATGAGAGAAAGTACCCTATTTTCAGACATCTATGTTGATACATAACCAAGAGGTTAAAGGAAATAAACTAATGGTGCACCACTTGGAAAAAGTTTGTCCTGACTCCCAGGGAGAGAAAGAAAAGGAGCTAGAGAGTCAGCAGTTGTTAAATGTGCTTAACCCACTTGAAACTGGTGCCACATTACTTAGTCAAGAGGTGGAGGAACCACCATCCCTGGAGTATAAAGAGGCTGCAAACATAGTCTCTCCCTCCTGAACTAGGCAAGGCACTGATTTTGGCTGGAGATCTACCAAGCTGGGGCAGGGCAATTTCCCCTCTGACAATATCCCATGGGAATTAATCAGCAAGGGACTTCAGCTCGATATTATTGGGCATACAGGCCTTTTCCTACATCTGATGTACTGAATTGGAAAACTTCCAATCCTTTCTACAGGGAAGATCCTCAGAAGATGACTGAATTGTTTACCACTATTTTTGCCAGCCATCACCCTACTTAGGCTAATTTGCAAGCCCTCCTAAATATTATGCTTACTGCAGACAAGAGAAAGCAAGCATTAGGCAATGGAAAGGAGGAAGCATGGTGTCTTCATGAAAAAAGCCCAGATGATACCCCAGACCCTGATAAGATTCTACATGCTGACCCAAACTGGGTCCCAAGTGAGGAGGATGGGGCCTGGACAAATCATCTGGAGTATTCTAAAGGGTGATAGGTCAGGGGTGCCGAGACCTAAAAGTCTGAAAAAAGTGCAGGAGCTTCAGCAGAAGCCTAACAAGGATTCCCTCAGAGTTCATGGATGTATCTGTCAAACATATAGAAAGCATACAGACTTAGACCTGCAGGATCCTGAAAATGTCAGAATGATAAACATGACTTTTATAGAGCAAAATGCCCCAGACATCACAAAGAAGTTACAAAAGCTGGAGGGGAGCTATTGGAATGAACACTTCTCAATTAATTGACATTGTGTTCAAGGCCTTATAATAGCAGAGAAGCCAAGGAAACCAAGGCACTACTGAAGGCAGAGATACTCATAGCTGCCATGGGAGGAAACCTGAAGAGAAAGGAACCCCCAAGGTGGAAAGGGAAAGTAGAAAAAGATCAATGGGCTTACTGTAGGGTGACAGTGCTTTGGAAGAAAGACTGCCCCAAGCTGAGTCAGGGGGAGCCCAAGTCACTTATGGCTGTTAAGTTTGGAAAAAATCCAAGGAGGACCGAGGGTGCCCAAAGTTCCCAAAAGCTCCAACCCTGTCCAGCATTAGGATTTCACCACAGGACATTCGGGTAAAACTGACAGTAGGGAAACAAAAATTGGACTTCTTAATTGATACGGGTGATACTGACATCCCAAAGTGTGGACTTTCTGACACCTATGTCAATATGGTTGGGGTGAATGGAGAGCTAAAACTGGTTGGGGGGGGGGGGTTGTGACCCTTATCCTGCAAGGTGGGCAATGAGGTATTGATAATAGCTAATCAATTATTTTATGTGTGGGACTGCCCAACCTCTGTGCTTGGTAGAGATCTCTTGTGTAAGTTAGAGGCATTAATTGTCTTTGAACCAGAGAAACGTCCAATGTGCCTCCAGGTACCCCCAGAATCCAGATTGCAGCTACAGGCCCTCCTGATGAAATCAAAAACTCCACAGCTTGAAGTAGAGATGATTCCACCGGAAGTCCTCAATAAGGTAAAGCCGGAAGTATGGGCTTCCGACCAACTGGGGAGGACAATTAATGTGAATCCCATAAAAGTCAGGCTAAAGGAAGGTATCTGACCTGATTAAAATAAACAGTACCCCTAAAGAAAGAGACTCTAGAAGGCATACAGCCAGTACTGGTTCGATTCTTTTGACATGGCTTAATAAGACTTTGTCAGACCTTGTATAATACACCCATCCTGCCAGTAAAGAAGCCTCACTCACACAAGTACAGGTTTATGAAAGATCTAAGGGTGACCAATGATATCGTGGAAGACATCCACCCCACTGCGACCAATCCATACACTATGTTTACTTCCTTGCCCAGAGACCATGAATGGTCTACAGTGTTAGATTTACAGGATACTTTCTTTTCTATACCAGTGGACCCAGAAAGTCAATTATTATTCACTTTTGAGTGGACAGACCCTGAAACAGCTTGCACGATTTCAATACTGTTGGACAGTGCTTCCTCAAGGGTTTAAAAATTCCCCAACTGTATTTGGGGAAGCAGTGGCTCGGAACATAAGAGACTTACAGTTGGAAAATGGGACACTACTACAATATGTGGATGATCTGCTAATCTTAAGCCCCTCAAGGCAAGAGTGTCAAGATAACACTGTACAGACTCTAAACTATTTGGCAGCCTGTGGGTACAAAGTCTTGAGCAAAAAGGCACAGATATGCAAACAAACTGTAGAATACTTAAGATTTCTATTACAGAGAGGAACCAGAGCCCTGGCAGAGGAGAGGCCAAATGCAATTGCCTCTGCCGCAATGCCCAGAACCAGAAAGTAGTGGAGGGCCTTCCTGGGAATGCAGGGTTCTGTAGAATTTGGATTCCCAATTAGGCACTGGCAGTAAAGCCACTATATGAACTGTTAAAAGGGGCCAACCACGACCACTTTGTATGGGAAGTAAAACATCAGACTGCATTTGAACAACTAAAGCATAAGTTAACATCTGCCCCAGCTTTGGGACTGCCAAATTATCATAAACCCTTCCAACTTTATGTGCATGACAGACTGGGTCTAGCACTTGGGGTCCTAATGCAAAAATTTGCAACCAGTGGCTTATTTTTCAAAACAGCTTGATTCAGTGACAAAGGGCTGGCCCCGTTGTCTCAGCGCAGTAGCTGCCACCTGCCTGTTGCTCAAGGAAGCTAAGAGGATGACTTTAGGTCAGCCCATCACGATTTATGTGCCCCATGAAGTCCTGGAGTTATTAGAGCAGAAGGATGGCTACTGGCTAATGGTGGGCAGATTAGGCAAGTATCAGGCTATCCTCCTTAATGATCCTGAAGTAAACTACAGGCCAGCCACTGGAGCCTTAAACTCTGCCACTTAGTTGACACCTACTGGACAACCAAAGGAACTAGTACACAACTCCCTAGCGGTTATAGATCAAGAGTCTTCCAGTCAACCAGATCTGAAGGACACAGCCCTCCAGGGTAGAGACTGGATGCTCTTTGTGGACAGAAGCAGCCTGGTCACCAACAGAAGGAGGAATACTGTCTAGGCTATAGTGTCTCTCTCGGAGGTGATAGCTGCAAGAGCTCTCCCAACAGGGACTTCTGTGCAAAAGGCTGAGTAAATCGCCCTTATGAGAGCCTTGCAACTGACCAAAGGGAAGAGAACCAATATCTAAACTGATTCCAAATATTCTTTCATGATAGTCCATGCACACAGAGCTATTTGCAAGGAAAGGGGACTGCTAAACATGTGTAATACTAAAATTAAATATGCAGAGCCACGTTGGAGCTATTGGAGGTGGTGACAACCCCAAGGGAAATAGCTGTTAGGCATTGTCCATTGCCATCAGCACAGGAATTCCAATCTAGCTAGAGGGAACACTTTCACTGACTGCACAGCCAGGCACACAACCAACAGCAGTGCTGAGGTCCAGGCATCTTTAATTCCCCAAATAGATCTGACAGCTTTCAAATCCCAGTATCCTCTTGAGGATAAAAAGGCTACCAAGGACAGAGGATGTATTCAAGATAAGAAAGGTTGAAAACTAATTGATGAAGGCGTGGTTTGGATGCCGACACACCTTGTTCAACCAATGCCAAAATATACACATGATAGCATGCATTTCGGATGAGATGCCTCATTAACTTTCTTGCAAAAATATATAAAAGGAAAAGGCCTGAAGGCTCACTTGGAAAGTATAACACAACACTGAGACCTTTGTGCTGAAAACGAGCCCAGTAACCATAGCAGAGGACAGCCTGGACAATAGGAGAGAGGTTTTGCTTTGGAAAACTAAATTTCTAAATTGACTGGGGCATGTCTCAGATATTTGGGGCTCACAATACCTAAATAAATTAAAAGCAGAAACTAAAACATGTTTTTGAAGCAATGTTAGTATTCATGATAACCTTATTCATAATAATTTTATTCACAATAATCAAAAGGTGAAAATGCAAGTGAGCATCAGCAAATGAAAGGATAAACAGAGTTTTGTGTCTACACACAAAGGGACATTATTTAGTTTTAAAAAGGAAGGAAATTCAGATACGTGCAATAATATGGTTGAACCTTGAGGACATTTTACTAAGCTACATAAGCCAGACACAAAAGGACAAACACTGTATGACTCCAACTATGTGAGGTGCCTAGAATAATTAAATGCAAAGACAGGAAGTAGAATGGTGGTTGCCAGAGGATGAAATAAGGGGGAAATGGGAAATTGTTGTTTAGTCAGTAGAGTTTTAGTTTGGGATGATTAAAATTGTAGTATACGTATACTGGTGATGCTTGCTCAGTAAAGTGGATGGACTTAATGCCAATAAACTATACGTTTCAAAATGGTTAAATGATGAATTGTATATTATATATATTTTACCACACTAAAGAAAAGGTTTAATGACAAGTGACAAAGCCAAGATACATTGAAGATCTACACCCATTTCCTTCTTTCCTAGGCCCTGGAGAAATGCAGAGATGCAGGTTTAATGAAGTCCATCAGGGTGTCCAGTTTCAATCACTAACTGTTGGAACTGATCCTCAGACAAGCCAGGACTCAAGTACAAGCCCATCTACAACCAGATGAGCCCTTAGGGCCACTGGGGCCATTTCTGACTTTGTGCTCTTCACACACTTCCTTACATTAGAATAATGTAATTGTTCAGTATGTTGTGCTTTAATTTTTTAAGAGAATGTCAAAGGCTAGCCATGACACTGTTATGTGTATTTCTTTTAATTTAACTTTTCCATAAATATTAAATAATGTAATTGTTCAGAATTAGTATCAGAATTGTTTCATAAATATTAAATAAGTTAATTGTTCAGAATTAGAATTAAATAATGTAATTTAGGTCTCCAAAACTTTTTTAATTTTCAATATTTTTAACTTTTATTTTAAGTTGAGGGGTGCACGTGCAGGTTTTTTATAAAGGTAAACTCATGCCATGGGGGTTTGTTCTACAGCTTATTTTGTTACCCAGATATTAAGCTTAGTACTCATTAGTTATTTTCAACATCCTCTCCCTTGTCCCAATTTTGATAAATTGGTAAAGGCAACAGCCTGAATAGAGGTGCATTCAAAAAAGTGTAGGAAGAGAAGAATGATACAGAAGTGTAGAAAGTATTCAAAGAATGGGTTATAAATACACCTGACAATTGAGATGACAATTTTCTTTGAGATGGCAGAAAAAACAGCATGCCTATATGCTCTTAGGAAGAATCTAGTAGAAAGAGAAAAACTGATGATGCAGGAGAGAGAGGATCAGAATTGCTGAATCATGTTTGCATTCATTTCCTATTTCTGCTGTAAAAAAATATCACAAATGTTGTGGCCTGAAACACCATAATTAATTTTCTCACAGTTCATCAATTATGAAACATCATAATTTTCTCAAATTCCAATGAATTTGGAATCAGAATTCCAAAATCTGGTTCAACAGGCTAAAGTCAGGGTGTCCACAAGGTTGTATTTCTTCTTGAGGGTCTAGGGGAAAATGCTATTCTGGGCCATTCCAGGTTCCAGAGAATGTGTTCCTTGGCTCATGGCACTTATTCTATCTTGAAAGCCAACTACATGGCATCTTAGGATCTCTGTCCTATGCGTCTTTCCTTACACATCCTCTTTGATTGTGGCCCTCCTGGGTGCCACTTGTAAGGATTTTGAGATGACATTGCCTATCCAGATGATTCAGGAAACGCTTCTATCTTAGGATCCTTAACATAATCACATCTGCAAAGTTTGTTTTGCCAGGTCAGGTAACATAGTCACAGCTTCCAAAGATAAAGGCATGAGTTATTGGCAGGGCAGGGGGAGGGAGCAGTATTGAGCCTACTGTACTAGCTTTGTGGAGAACTTGAAGCAAGTAAGCCTTAATTTTCTAGCCTTGCTAATAGAAAGTACTATATCACCAGCCACTAGGTCCTGAAAAATCTAGATTTCATCTCAGATATAATGAAATAAAAACCTGTTCCTTAGCTCTGATATCATTTATACCCTATCATATGTCCCCTTCTAGTCATAGTCCCTTTATTCCCTTAGTTTACCATTTCTCCCAGGATTTGTGAATATCTTTTTTCACTGTACATGCAGAGAACTCCAGCATTGCTGTTCTTTACATTCTCAACAACTGAAAGTTTCTACTCATACTTAGATTATACTTCAGGCAACTACTTCTATGCTATAACTTATACAGACAAAGAAGTACTTATAACTGCTCTATGAACCTTTAACTTTAACACACTTCATACTAATGAAGCCTCTTACGCTTCGATTTTCACTACACATCAGTTCATCAAGTTCTTAATTCATTAAGGGTTTCGGTCATTGGGTCTCTCATGTTTCCTCTTTCCAAATTCATTAAGGGTTTCGGTCATTGGGTCTCTCGTGTTTCCTCTTTCCATTCTTTCAATCTCCACACAAGTTTACATATTCAGATTTGCTTACATAATAAAGTAAATTGAAATCCTCAGACTACACTCATTCTCTCTAAATTTCTCCTTTAGGTTTTCTGCTGGTTGGGGTCTCTTGTCCTTGTACCTATTGATCTGTGCTTATAGCAAACAAACTGGATCAATCTGCTTATAGCCAGAACAAATTGCCCTGATTGTATTTTTGTAGATCATCTAGCCAAAAGCTAAAATCCTACACCAGAGATTCTTATTCATTTGATCTGTAGAAAAGTTTAGGTATCACTATGTTTCCTTTATTTTGTTTTTGGATTTGTATAAAATTAAAGTTTACAAGTGCAGTTTGCTACATAGATATATTGCACAGTGGTGAGGTCTGGGCTTTTAGTGTAGCTATCACCTGAATAATGTCCATTGTACTTACCCAAAAATTTCCCAGCCTCCCAGCCTTCTGAGTCTCCACCAGTGGAAGACGGAGGATCCAGTGGGCAGATATCAAGTGCCTATAGGTGTGCCTAGGCATGGAGTTGGGAAACCTCTGCTCTTTGATGAATTTTAAAGAGGTTATTTGGGTTTTGTTGTAATTATTGTTGTTGGGTTGAGTTCCTTATAAATTCTGGATATCAGTCCCCTGTTAGATTCACAATTTGCAATTATTTTCCCCCATTGTATAGGTTGTCTGTTCTCTGTTGATTTTATTTTATTTTTTTTTGCCTTTACAGAAGCTTATTGGTTTAATTAAGTCATATGCGTCTCTTCCTATTCTCTCATTTGTGTTTTTGAAATCTTAGTCTGAGTTCCTTGCCAGGACCTACTTAAGAATTTTTTGCCCCAATAAGTTTTCCTTAGATTTTCTTCTAGCACTTGATAGTCTCAGGTCTTACATTTAAGACTGATTTATTTCCAGTTGTTTTAAAAGCTTGCAAAGCTATTTTGAGGCATAAGCAAGGTTGCAAATGTCTAACTTTTTGAAAATATCAATTTTTCATTATGGTTTAGGGGTTAGGATTGTATTATCACCAACATGCATTTTATGAGAAAAGCTTTGCTAAGGTCACTCATGTTTATTTCCTTGCCCTTGGCATGAGCTACAGTGGGAAGAGTGCTGCAACCCAGCCCTAGCCAACACCGCATGAGAGGGACTGTGCTGCAGGCTTCTGAGAAGGTATCTCTCACATCTAGAAAGAAGCTTTTAAGATGTGGCAGCCCCTCTTCTTAAAGTGGCTCTTGTCCTGTTGCCCTGGGAGTTCTAAAATTGCTGCAGCAGCCTCCACCCAGCCTGAGGATGACATCAATACATAGAGGAAGAAGAGTCAGGAAAAGATGAGAGAAGTTACAGACTCTCTTGGGCGACCCCGAGAGCTTACCATTCCTCAGACTTCTTCACATGGTGCTAACAGATTTGTATATGTAATGAGACAGTTTCCTGATTCCCCTTGGAGGACTTGCGAGGGGTGTGGCTCACCGGTTCAAACTGCTTGAGGGAGGGGGAGCATGGAGATGGGCAGGTGCACAGGCCAGGGCGAGCGCTTTGGGCTCTGGCTCCATGGTAGTGTCTAGTGGTGGGTGCCTGCAACCACAGTGTTGTAAAGCTCTTTCAGCTTTGCCATCTGCAGACGGCTTGAGTCTGCAGCTCCATGGACCCTCTGACTTATCTCAAAGGCAGAGGGCCAGTGTGACAGCTTTCTATATCCCAAGCTCTTGCCAGGCATCCCAGAAGAGTCAGATCACATGTGGGCTCAAAGGATGAGGGCAAGATTTTATTGAGTGGTGGAGGCAGCTCTCAGCAAGATGGATGGGGAGCCGGAATGGGGGAATGAGTAGGAAGGTGATCTTTCCTTGGAGTCAGGCTGCCCAGTGGCCGGACTCTTCTCCAATCCTCCTAGGCCAAATTCCTTTCAGTGTCCAATGTCCCTCCTCTTCTCTCTTTCTGTGTGTCATTGTTCTGCCGTCCATCTGGTTGCCTCCTTGTCTCTTCACCTGCTGGTCTGCCCAGGAACTTAGGTTTTGGGGGTTTTTATAGCAGCAGAATGGAGGTGTGGTGGGCCAAAAGGCAAATTTTCGGGGCATGAAAACTGAAATGCCTGTTCTCATTTAGGGGCACGGCTATCCAGGCTTGAAGGTGGGGCCTTTGCTGGGAAACCACCCTCTTCTACCCAGTATTTCCCTGTCTCCTGTCCATATCACATGGAGTTTAAACCATTCAGAAATAGGTTTTTCTCACCTGGTTTTATGCTAACCAAAACAACTATAATATTAATACTTTTCTCTTTACAACCTCCCCTGCTTGTTGACCTATCCAGGAGTGGTCGCAAGGTGTGCAAGCTGCTGAGTCACCCTGACTGCATCAACCCGAGTAGATTGTAGGGGTGAACAATAGTATCGAGAAATAGTAAAATAGCAAACAGTGCAGACAAGGCAGACGTCTCAAAAAGTGCTCAGTGGAATTGTCACTCATCCAGAGTCAACATTGGTGACACAGTTGTTTCTTCAAACAGAGTTCCCTCTATGAAAAAACTGAGCAAGGTGGAATTTACTTTAAATTTCATGGGTTGTGAAATTTCAACTAATGTCATAATTAAAACTTCCTACATATTGCCTTAGGCACCTCTGTCTTTTCCCCAAACTTTTCTCCAGGGCATCAGCAGCACCTCAGCCTCTTCCACAGCCTCCCAGCTCTTCCTTTTTCCTCCTGCACGGCTTTTGGCATCCCACCATTTTCCACAGCAATGCAGGCTAACTGTGAGCTTCCACAGCCTCTCACAGACATGACTTCACCCACAAGCCTCTGTGAGGCTCAAGTGTACCCCTTTTTGTTCACATAGAACCTCTTCACCCCAGAGAATTGAGTCAACCAAACAGGAAATCTCAGGACAAACAGTGCTGGCAAACATCATTTTGTTTAAAGTATCATATCAATATATATTTGTTGAGAAAATATTCGGAGTTCTTTGCAAACTGTAACACTTGTTCAGAAAAAATAGTGAGAAGAAATTAGGATCATTTATTTACTTGAGGCACATGAGTGTTCTCTATGTATGACTCAAGGACATCCCACTTCTGTCCTCCCTGATCTTCCATCTTCCATCTGCTTTCCATCCTCTTCCCATCTCCCTTTCCTCATATTCCTCTCCCTCTCCCTCACCTGTAGGACTGAGAATTCCTGTGGTCTCCTGAGATCAGTTTCTTTCCACCACATTGTAAACAAGCTGTGGAAAGTTTTAGTTCTTAGCGACTCCACGACCCACACTAGTCAGGCAGAAGCCCCCATGTACAAGGTACCCCTTGAGCCTTGGCAAGGTGCATGACACACACTTGGTCACTGGAGGAAATGATGAGTAGAGAGTGACAAATAGAAGAGGGGAACTTTAAGCTTGAGCCCTCTGGAGTGTAAGAGTGGTTGAGGCTTGGCACTTGCCACCTAGATTTCAGACAATGTGTCAGGAATCCTGGATACCCAGAGAGAATCCTGTTCCAGGGCCGGATCCCCAACATAAAGCTTTTATTTAGGCAATGTTGAGCACTAATATGTGGTTGGAGCTCTGCAGGGGGTCTCCATGGGTGCACTGTGTAGCAAAGCTGTGGGAGAAAGGCCTTACCCCTCAAAATTCCAGAATTATAAATCTACCAGGCGCTAACAACTTCAGCCTGGAAAAGCCATGGGCATTAAACTCCAAACTGTGAGAGCAGCCATGTGGGCTGCACCCTGCAAAGCCACAGGTACAGTGCTTCCCAAAGCCCCCAGAAGCCTACCCCTGTCACCAGTGTGCCCAGAATGAAGAATATAGAGTCAAGGAAGATGATTTTGCAGCTTTAAGGTTTAATTTCTGCCCTGTCGGCTTTATGACTTGCATGAAGCCTCTTCCTCTTCTCTTTAAGCTGACATTTCCCTTTTGAAATGAGATTGTTCAACCACTGCCTATAAAACCATTGTAATTTGGAAGGAAATAACTTGGTTTTTGATTTCACAGGCTCATAGCTGGTAGAAATTTTTCTTGGATCTCAGATAAATCTTTGCATTTTAGACATTTAAGTTGATTCTAAACCTGATAAGGCTTTAGAGACTCTTGAGGTAAACTGATTGGATTTTGTATGTAAGAAAGACCTGAAATTTATGTCTGCAGCTTTTTCTCCTTTATATCCTCAACTAACAATATTTTGGGGTTTCTATGATTCTTTGCTAAAATTTGGATTCCCGTTTCAATTTCTCTTGTGCATAATCTGTAATTATTTTCTCTGTAGTTACCATTGGAATGACATACTGCATCCTATAGTTATACCATCCACTTTGAAATCAATGTGAATTTAACTTCAATTCCATACAAAAACTTCTTTTCCACAGGTACCTTTCTGCTTCACATTATTGATGTCACTAATTGCAACTTTATACATGGTGTACATGTTAACAGAAAGGTATTCTTATTGTAATGTAAATCTTGAAGAAAATGAGAGTAAAAAACAAATTTCACAAATACATGTTTCCACGTTTTTCATACACCTACCTTTACGAGAGGTCTTTATACCTCTATATGACTTCACGTTGCTGTCTAAACTTCTTTCATTTCAAAGTGAATGACTCTCTTAAGCATTTCTTGTAGAGCAGTTCTAATGGCAATGAACTCCTGCAGCTTCTACATCACATAGTCTTACTAACTTTGTAATTTTTAAGAAATAATTTGGCTGGGTGCAGTGGCTAAGGCCTGTAATCCCAGCACACTGGGAGGCCAAGGTGGGCGGATCACAAGGTCAAGAAATAGAGACCATCCTGGCTACCATAGTGAAACCCTGTCTCTACTAAAAATACAAAAATTAGCTGGGCATGGTTGTGCACGCCTGTAGTCCCAGCTACTCAGGAGGCTGAGGCAGGAGAATTGCTTGAACCTGGGAGGCAGAGGTTGCAATGAGCTGAGATCGCACCACTGCACTCCAGTCTAGTGACAGAGCAAAACTCTGTCACAAAAAAAAAAAAGAATTTTTTTTGCCAAATATGGAATTATTGGCTGTAATTTTTTTTAATTGATCACATTAAATGTATCACTTACTATATCCTCCAAAGACTCTCGTAAGAAATCTGTGGATCACCTTGTTCAGGATCCCTTGTACCCCATGATTCTTGTTTCTCTTCCTACTTTTTGTTTTGTTTTGTTTTGTTTTTTATTTATTTATTTATTTATTTTTAATTTTATTATTATTATACTTTAAGTTTTAGGGTACATGTGCACAATGTGCAGGTTTGTTACATATGTATACATGTGCCATGTTGGTGTGCTGCACCCATTAACTCGTCATTTAGCATTAGGTATATCTCCTAATGCTATCCCTCCCCCCTCCCCCCACACCACAACAGGCCCCGGTGTGTGATGTTCCCCTTCCTGTGTCCATGTGTTCTCATTGTTCAATTCCCACTATGAGTGAGAACATGTGGTGTTTGGTTTTTTTTGTCCTTGCGATAGTTTGCTGAAAATGATGGTTTCCAGTTTCATCCATGTCCCTACAAAGGACGTGAACTCATCATTTTTTATGACTGCATAGTATTCCATGGTGTATATGTGCCACATTTTCTTAATCCAGTCTATCGTTGTTGGTCTTTTAGGTTGGTTCCAAGTCTTTGCTATTGTGAATAGTGCTGCAATAAACATACGTGTGCATGTGTCTTTATAGCAGCATGATTTATAATCCTTTGGGTATATACCCAGTAATGGGATGGCTGGGTCAAATGGTATTTCTAGTTCAAGATCCCTGAGGAATCACCACACTGACTTCCACAATGGTTGAACTAGTTAACAGTCCCACCAACAGTGTAAAAGTGTTCCTATTTCTCCACATCCTCTCCAGCACCTGTTGTTTCTTGACTTTTTAATGATCGCCATTCTAACTGGTGTGAGATATTTTTTTTTGGGAGGGGGGATTGAGTTTTGCTCTTGTTGCCCAAGCTGGAGTGCAATGGTGCAATCTCGACTCACTGCAACCTCCACCTCCTGGGTTCAAGCTATTTTCCGGGATTAGCCTCCTGAGTAGCTGGAATTACAGGTGTGCACCCCCATGCCTGGCTAATTTTTTGTATTTTTAGTAGAAATAGGGTTTCACCATGTTAGCCAGGCTGGTCTCGAACTCCTGACCTCAGGTGATCCGC
The DNA here is from genome assembly GCF_000001405.40 of Homo sapiens. Lineage (NCBI taxonomy): Eukaryota > Metazoa > Chordata > Mammalia > Primates > Hominidae > Homo > Homo sapiens. The sequence goes on from NC_000010.11 coordinate 4,960,878, forward strand.
CTGCCTCGGCTCCCAAAATCTCTTGCTATTTAAAGATTATCTCTTTGTCTGGCTTTTAGAGTTGGATGATAACACATACAGATCTGGGTCTCTTAGAGTTTATACTATTTGCAGTTCTTTAAGTGGCCTGAATTTGTAGATTGTTGTCTTTAACCAATTTGAAAAAGTTTTGATGTTTTTATTCTCCAAATAATCTGTCTACCACCATGGGTTTGCACTTCTCCTTCTGGGAATCCAATACTATCATACTGGTCGGCTTGAAGCTGTCCCATAAGTCCCTTAGGACCGGTTCACATTTCTTTATTCTTGTTTCGTGTCCTTAGACTCAGGAACTTCAAATGCGCTATCCCTATGTGTATTGATTATATCTTCATCCTGCTCAAAGTTGCTATTGAAACACCCTCTGGTGAGTTCTTCATTCAGGTACTTTTTTTGCTCCAATTTTTTCCTTTTTTATAATTTCTATATTACTACTGTATCGTGATTTTCTTATTGTTTTCAGATTTTCTGTAGTTCTTAGTCCATATTTTTCATTAGCAATTTTAGCATATTTAAGCAGCTGTTTAAATGCTTCTCTACTAATTTTAATGCCTGTGATTCTTCAGGAAAGATTTCTACTAATTTATTTTCTTTCTCATAATGAACTGTGATTTCTTGTTTCCTTGTATGCCTTGTCATTTTATTTTATTTTTTTGAGCCAGAGTCCTGCTCTGTCGCCAGGCTGGAGTACAGTGGTGCCATCTCGGCTCACTGCAACCTCTGCCTCCTGGGTTCAAGCGATTCCCCTGCTTTAGCCTCCCGAGCAGCTGGGACTACAGGCGTCCGCCACCACGTCCGACTATTTGTTGTTGTTGTTGTTGTTGTTGTTCTTGTTGTTGTTGTTCTTATTTTAGTAGAGACAGGATTTCACCATGTTGACCAGGATGGTCTCCATCTCCTGCCCTCGTGATCTGGCCGCCTCGGCCTCCCAAAGTGCTGGGATTACCACTGCTCCAGGCCTGTATGCCTTGTTATTTTATCTAATTGGGCATTTGAAAAAATAAACATCTTTTTTACTGTATATAGATTTGTTCTATGTCATGACAGTCATTAACTTATATGTGTGGCAGGTTCTCAGTCAAGGCATCAGCCCTACATAAAACCTCAAGTCCTTCTTAGTTTGTTTCTGAACATGCACCTACGTGGACTGTGTTTGCCCTTTTATGTATCCCCAAATAACCAATGGCTTTTGAATTGCTTACTATTATGAAATTTCGCATCCCAGTTTCTCCTCAATGGCTTAGATGGACTATTGCATGTCTCTTCCCCTGGCCTTTTGCCTATAACATCTGTATGTGTATAGTCACCCTGAATCTCTACTGAGCCACTCCAGAAATAAATAAGTTTATTTCAGTCAATTTTAGGTATTTTCTGATGTTTCCATGAGTTATATGGGAATCTTAGAATCCACCATCTTGTTGAAATTACTCTGTGAAAAATTTCAATATCTTTATAATATTACATTTATGTCAATGATAACAATTTACCTATTTTTCAATTTCTGTTTGTTTTATGAAAAAGCAAATAGAAGCAATCAGGGCACTGCAAGTTGTGACTACTCCAAGATGTGAATCATGGATCATGCAAATTACAATCATGTTTTAACCTGACCTCCAAAGGGAGAATAAAGTAAAAATTATCCCATGCGAGGATTATTCACCAGTTTATATGTCATTAGTTACCAGTTTTTCTTTATGAATAATGTTTAGCAATATTATAAAGTATATCTAATAGTTATCATATTTTGGCTTGTTACTTTTTGGTAGCAATTCATAAAAATGGCTGGAAAAGACAAATAAGGCACTGTTTGCATGTTACAAATTATATCCAAAGTCCAAAAGCTGTTAATAAGAAATCTTCCAATAAAACCACATCATATTTTCTTTTTTATTTACACCCACATCAGGATTACAACTTTATCAGGACTGCACCTTGATCAGGAAGGGATGTTTCTCTTACAAGGCTAATAAGAAAGGAACAATAAATTTGCTGATGAAAAAAGTAATGCATTAAAAAATTTTAACTTTAATTTTTAATTGAGGGCAATATTTTAAAGAAATGCTCATTAGTCATTCCTTTAAATTGTGTGTGTGAGAGAGAGAAAAATGAAAATTAGTCATTTCAAATGCTGCAAGATGCAGAAGGAACTCATCATCATGACACAAACAAAAAAGAGCTGTGCCGCTAGAGGTTTCTGTATTCTTATGTAAAGTCACAATTTGTTCTACAAATCTCTTTGAGTAATTTATGTCTCATATATAGAGATCTGGAATAGCAAAAATACTTCAGAGGAAATTAATGAGTGTATCATGACCACATAATAATTTACTTATGAATTTTCTTAGGTAAGAAACGGTTGAACTGGATGCAATTTTTATCACAGCTTGTGTAAGACTGCCTCTGTCCCTCCTCTCACATGCCATTGGTTAACCAGCAGACAGTGTGCTCAGGGGCGTTGCCAGCTCATTGCTCTTATAGCCTGTGAGGGAGGAAGAAAGAAACATTTGCCAGCCAGGCTAGTGACAGAAATGGATTCGAAATATCAGTGTGTGAAGCTGAATGATGGTCACTTCATGCCTGTCCTGGGATTTGGCACCTATGCGCCTGCAGAGGTAACAATAATATTTTTAGTGTTGAGAGTTCAAAGGAGCTAGAGTAAGTGGAAGCTGACCAGGTTGTCAGGCTTGTGTTCCTATGTTACTCTGCATGACTCCCCTTTAAACGTCAGTCTTTGTTCTGCAATGCCATCTTGTCACAGGGTCATCTACTGCTTATTTGTGGCACTGTTTTGTCTTCTGTTTATGTTTATTTCACAGCTTGTCAGAGTCTATACAACTCAGCAGAAAGAACACGGCTTGCCTGCTCCCTCTCTTGAAGATTGATTGCAATGGGAGTGGTTTCTCTGTTTCTTTGTATAGTCGAACAGATATTTACTTCTTCCAAGAAGATACAATTCAGAGGAATTTTTATGGCAAAAGTTAGTGGAGACGGGGTGGATGAAATCTGTTGGGAGAGTATCACTGTTCTGATGGGCGGCCTTGAGCACCACACTGTAATACTAGACCTGGCCTAAAGAGAATTTCTCATGTACTATTCTCACCTCTGGGAAAATTACCTGAAACGATAAAATATCCTCATTTTAAGAAAAAAAAAATACTAGAACCTAACAAGGAAAATTTAAATTCTTTTTCTTTGTTAATATGGGTCAAATTTGTATCAAAATATTGTAACAGAAAAATTTCTTGTTTCTCTGACAGGAAAATTAATGGAATAGATTTTCTTTTCTAGACTTAGCTATTTCTACACTGGAAGAAAACTTGTATCTCAAGACTGTCTTGGGAATACAATGTGTGTGAATAGGGACTAGTTACATAAAATTTGGGTTTCACATTTCTGATCTATACAATATAAGGATTTACAAAGGGACATTTTGAAGACCATTGACAGGAGTGGTTTACTTTGTAATATAAATTGACATGGAGAGGAAGTAAAGATGAGGATACCACTAAAGCTCCAGCTTTGGTAAGCCTTTGAGTACTCATACAGCAAAGAAATGATCAAGGATGGTATGAGGAGAGGGCTGTGAGACCCAGTATCTAGTTCCTTGTAATTCTATGGGAAAAAGAAAGCCTCTGAAATACTTTCCAGATAGGAAAACAGTTTGCTTTGTTTCTGTTTTTGTCATTTAAAAGATATACTTTCAAATCTGTATCCAAATTTGTTACGTAAGTCAATAATTGTAAATTTCACTGCAATCATATGTTTCCTAAAAGAGTTGCCTTGAACTTATGGAACTGAACCCCATTTTGCTAATCACTTACTCCTTGCAGTCTATTTCTTATACAAATCAATATCCTTAGAGTATACATTTTTACACCTACTATTTAGTTCTGTCATGCCGACAGAATGGCTAATGGCTGTGTAGAAAAGACTTGACATAATAGACTGCTATCCATAGACAGGCCTGTTTCCCATATAAACCTGCTGGTATCTGATAAGGTGGATTTCTCACTATTTCCTAACTGATAAGAATGGTGGCTGTAAGTAACTGCTTGTGCAAACTGCGGAGTTTCTGTGCACCTGCTTTCCTTTTGGAGACTTTTGGAAGTTTTGTGCCTGCGAAGCAGAGTGAGTCAATGTAACCAGTCCCAGACAAAATCTTAGTAATGGAGTATGTAGAGAGCATCTCTTGTAGACAACAGTTCACATACATTGACAAAATATGATTCCGGGTAAAGTCAGTGCATTCTGTGCAATATGGTGGGAGAGGAATCACAGGAGCTTACACTGTATTCCTTCATATTTCCTTCCATGTGGCTATTTCCTCGTGTTAATTTCTTTTTTTGTTTGTTTGGTTTTTGTTTTGTTTTTCTGAGATGGAGTCTCGCTTTGTCGTCCAGGCTGGAGTGCAGTGGTGCGACCTCAGCTCACTGCAAGCTCCGCCTCCTGGGTTCACGTCATTCTCCTGCCCCAGCCTCCCCAGTAGCTGGGACTACAGGCGCCTGCCACCATGCCCGGCTAATTTTTTCTATTTTTAGTAGAGATGGAGTTGTTAACCAGGATGGCCTTGATCTCCTGATCTCATGATCCGCCCAGCTCGGCCTCCCAAAGTGCTGGGATTACAGGTGTGAGCCGCCACGCCTGGCCATTCCTTGTGTTAATTTTACCATACTAAAAATAATTAAGATTATATCTATAACTATAGGTTGCATCCTGTTAATTTTTCCAAAAAATGACTGAACCTGAAATTGTTTTGGGGACACTTCCAAACTAGTGGTCAAGCAGTGATTTTTCTGGGACTGCAGAAGTTCCTGCTGTGCCCAACCTTTATTACTAACTGGGAAAGACCCAGGGAGACTGGGATGGGCTCATGATTCTACATACAGAACTCATCCAAGAAAGGAGGAAAAGCTGATTTTTGTGAACGTCGCTACTTGTGCCTGAACTAACTCTCAGGCACATTAGTCAGAAAATACTACCTATGGTTACTCCCCCAGGTTCCTAAAAGTAAAGCTTTAGAGGCCACCAAATTGGCAATTGAAGCTGGCTTCCGCCATATTGATTCTGCTCATTTATACAATAATGAGGAGCAGGTTGGACTGGCCATCCGAAGCAAGATTGCAGATGGCAGTGTGAAGAGAGAAGACATATTCTACACTTCAAAGGTACTGTGCCTATGATGAGCTTGTGTGCACATGTATTTATTGTGATTGTGTGGAGGTGGCAGTTCTATGACTGGATCCATAGTATAGGGTGAATTGTGCTTATTTATTACGATTTATTCACACTTACTCATGTATTAAAACTAATATCAAAGGCAGGAAGTGAAGATGGCTTTCTCATCTTTGCAGTGTTCCAATTCATGCCTTCAAAGTGCCTTTACTTTTTGAGCTCAGCACAGATCAATATGGTTTAACATAGACTATAGAATCAGAAAAAATCCTAATCATATTATATTATTTCTTACCTCCTGGGTGAGTTTCTTACACTTGTTATGATTCTCAGTTTCCATTATTATGTTGATCATAGAGAGAGAAAGCAATATAAGCAAGCTCTGTGAGTATTAAAGAATAACGCCTACATTATCTCAAATTGTGTCCAGCCCAAGTTGACATATTAAAAACTCTGTTTGCTTCCTCAGTTTCTAAACCACAAAGATACTTAATCTTGCCCATTGGGCTGAATAGATGAAATAATTACACTACTAACATGAGTTGTAAAACTTACCAAAGATAATTCAGATAATGGGTATGCTTATGATTTGATAACAACTTTTACCTTTTGAGTAATTTCACTCTTTCATTCAATATATGTACTAACTATATATCCAACATATTATAAAGTTCATCATGATATGGCAGAACAAAAGGCATCACAAGAAGAGAGAGAATAATTTTGCCTGTGGTCATTAGTTTTGAAGTAGTAGAAAATGTCTAAATATTAGGTGGAGCAAACTAGTAAAATTGGCTCAAGTTTTCATTACACAACTTCCTTTCTCTAACCTCTGCAGCTTTGGTGCAATTCCCATCGACCAGAGTTGGTCCGACCAGCCTTGGAAAGGTCACTGAAAAATCTTCAATTGGATTATGTTGACCTCTACCTTATTCATTTTCCAGTGTCTGTAAAGGTAGGCAGCTTGTGTGATCAAATTAATTTCACTTTTGTTCTCAGCATAAATATTGTTTTTATGGATATTTGAACTAAGCATTTTCTTAGGAGGACATAGGGATTATAACATAGAAGAAGAATCCTAAATCTAACTCCTAATTCCTTTCTATGGGATACATTTTGAATCCATACTTCCGTGATTGCATGTCTATAAGAAAAGAAAGTGCAGAACTCTCAAAGCCTCTGCCTCAAAAACTTGAGGAAATGATAGTCATCTCCTTGAAGGCACAAGGTCTTAGTTATGATTCCTGATTTCACCTCTTGGGATGTTCACAGACACAGAGTTTCATGAAGCTGTGGTGTCCAGAAAACCTGCTGCACATAGGGTGCACAATGAGTTTCCATCTTCTTGCCTCTTTTTAAGGGGCGAGAACTCAGTCCGGGAGTGTCTTAAACTACAGACCTTCATGGGAAACCTTGTTGCTTCTGCTTCCTCTCTTTTCACACTGGAGGTTTTATTTTTGCTTAGCCATGAATTCTTGGGTCATTCATAACTTTTGTCTTAAGGTACTGAAAACTAGTCAGGCTAGTTAATGCAAAAGGGTATATTAGATATGATAATGGGAAATCAAAGCCAGGGCTACATTAAGAATTTGATAAAAACTCTAAAAATATATCCTTTCTCCACCCTTATCTCTGCTTTATTACAAAAGGCTTTTTAAGTATTTGTTCCAACCTTTTTCGTTGGTGGCATTTATGGCTTTGGAGCACTGTCAGGCCCATGTTCATTACCGTGAGCTCCTGTGCATCTCCTAATTTCCAAACTAGCCTTGAAAACACCTCCATTGACCATGATTGGTTCATGGTCCTGTGCATGGAACATCATATGTTCAGGGAGATAAAGAACTCTGATAGTGGCACCTGGGTAAAAAGTACAATCCATTATATCTGGATATCAAGATCTTTTGCAGTTGAAGAGAGGTATTGCCACAGAGAAAATTATAGGAGCAGAAGAAAGTCAATGAAAGTCAATGATGACACTCCATTAGGAACCAGAAAGAGGTATTTATTTATACATGTAATAGTTGTAAGAGATTAGAGGGAGCCTGTCACCTGAAGACATTCCTTATACCTTCATATGTAGTACACTCTGTACATACCACTCTCTGGAGCACTGCATCACCTACCTCATGGAGGATTAGTGTCCTTAAATGTACCTCAGAGCATGGCTATGTGTGGAGAAATTGACTTGTGACATCACTAAACTGACTGCTTCTACTTCAGCCAGGTGAGGAAGTGATCCCAAAAGATGAAAATGGAAAAATACTATTTGACACAGTGGATCTCTGTGCCACATGGGAGGTGAGTGTTTGGAGGTGAGAGAACGGATAAGAAAGATGAGGTAGGATACATCTGTTTCCTATCTTCTTAGTACAAGTATGGAAAATGCACCATTGGATCAAAAACTTAGGAACTTTACAAAGGTAGTTTTTGTGAGCAGTGAGGAAAAAGAAATGACAGGCATACAAAAGAGAGAAGTGGAGGAGAAGAATTGGGGGTAAGGAGGACTGGGATTTATTTCCTTGCCTTTTCACTAATCTCTCCAGTTTCCCAAGGAGGAAACAGAAATACTTACTCTTGCAATCACTATCTTCTTCCCCAATTTTCTGTTTTATTTTTTCCCTTTTAAGAACCACGGCTAGCTAGTTTTATTGTCATATCTAGACAGTTGTTACTTTCACAGTTCTGTGTCACATTTATCTTGATCTTCCACACCTCACAATTCCTTTTTCCCAGGCCGTGGAGAAGTGTAAAGATGCAGGATTGGCCAAGTCCATCGGGGTGTCCAACTTCAACCGCAGGCAGCTGGAGATGATCCTCAACAAGCCAGGGCTCAAGTACAAGCCTGTCTGCAACCAGGTGAGCACCCTCAGCCTCCTCTCCTTTCTGTTCTTCATGCCCCTCTTTCTGTCCTATTGCCAAGTATCCATTCATTTAGTCCCACTTATCTTTGTAAAAGAGAAGATTCTAGAGAGCAAAGACTCTGTCTCGAAGGGCATAGAGGGATCTTACTTGTACCCGGCTTAGAAAAGTCTTAGAAAAGGTGTTGTAACTTTGATGCTGAATTGTGTGTTATATTTATGGGAGGTCAATTCAATCAAGGAGGCCAAGGATTGTCAATTAGACTCAGGGAAAGGTGGACTTACCCCTAAGCTATGAAAGATGACCAGAGAATGGATGGGTGAAGGTGATTTGGAGGGAACTGTGCATAGATATGAAGCCGTGAAGAGATGGAATGAACAGTACATAAGGAGAGAGTGAGAGCAAGAGAAGAGAAATACTAGGGATTCACATGGGCTTCGGATGTCTCAGTGCCTCTTGGTGTCTCTGCTTTCACACTTCTTGACCAAGGGCATAGATACACTAAAAATTATCTGCAGACAATGAAGGTCATCCATGGTAGAAAGAGAAAATAACCTGTTTATGGGAGATATCTGTTCACAGTGGATGAAATCCACACTGAGGAAGGTTCAGCAGAACATGGAGCTGACCTATGACTGCCCCCGCTCCTAGTTGGCTGCTCTTCTTTGGAGTCTGTCATGCAATCAGCTGCTTAAACACATCTATTCTCTATGTGTTCCTTTTGTAGCCTAGAGATAATTCCATCTTTTCCTTGAGTCCTGACTGGTGATTCCAGGCCTCCTTGATCAAATTGACTGTCCCCAAATGTTACACACATTTCAGCATTAAAGTTACTACACTTTTCCCAGTAAATTACATTTTTTTGTTTTATTTTATGTTTTAAAACTTAGAGTCAATCAGTGAAGATCTACAGTGGAAATACATATGTATAAAATTAGTGAATTTGGTATAATGATACGGTGCTGTGATAATTTAATAAAAGCATTGAGAAATTAATGTGGTTTTAATACTAGTAGTTCCCCAATTTTTTAATATGGCCATTTTCACACTTTCCAAAAATTTGATAAAAATAATACTGGAGACCCATGTTACCATTTATATTCAAAATTACTAACATTTTGCAATGTTATATGGAGTATATCTGCATAAATACATATAATGTTTCTAGAACCTCTTCAAGGTAAATTGTAAAGATGACAATTGACCCCTAGAGACCTCTCAAAGCATGTCACAGGAATGAAGATATTCTCCCAGTTCCAGTGTCATTACTGTATCTAAGAACATCATCTATAGTGCCCTCATGTCATTTGGTATCCAGTCCATATTTGAATTTTTCCTTGCTTAATCAAAATATCTTTTGTAGCTCTTCTTTTTTTAACCAGAATTCAATTGTTTTTATATTGTTGTATTTTGATATCAGTTAACTTGTTTTTCCCAGTTGTTGAAGGTTTCTGTAAATTAGAAGTTAGATGAGAGTGTTTTATTACATTGACTTAAACCTTTGGGGCAAGAAAATATTTTTATCATGCTGTGTTTTTCAAATTGCACCACACTAGACTGCATACAATCACAGAATGCCCCACTAGTGGTGAAGGTAGTTTTAAAAACTTGGTTAAGCTCCAACAATGATAGACTGGATTAAGAAAATGTGGCACATATACACCATGGAATACTATGCAGCCATAAAAAATGATGAGTTCATATCCTTTGTAGGGACATGGATGAAACTGGAAATCATCATTGTCAGTAAACTATCGCAAGAACAAAAAACCAAACACCGCATATTCTCACTCATAGGTGGGAATTGAACAATGAGATCACATGGATACAGGAAGGGGAATATCACACTCTGGGGACTGTTGTGGGGTGGGGGGAGGGGGGAGGGATAGCACTGGGAGATATACCTAATGCTAGATGACGAGTTAGTAGGTGCAGCGTACCAACATGGCACATGTATACATATGTAACTAACCTGCACAATGTGCACATGTACCCTCGAACTTAAAGTATAATAAAAAAAAAAAAACTTGGTTAAGCTAACAGTGGTCAGATCTGTTGTTTTTAACTCATGTTTTCTCTTTAACAATTACTAGTAATCTGCTGGGGGATAATTCTCAACAGAAGAAGTCATATTCCCATGACAAATTTTCACATATGATTGAGTATACATCAGTGATTTGAACTTTTTTCTACTGCATTTCTGTTTTCTTCTTTGTTATTTCTTATTTGTTATTTCCTTGGGGTTTTTACATAATCATTTACAATTTTAACCACTTGTTTAACTATTCTTACCTGACATTTAATTAAAAATGATTTCTCACCAAGTAAAAATAATAAACTACTATTCCTCTAAGTGAGGGTAAAGGTGAACTTCTTCCTTCAATTAGCAATGTACTGTGAACGTAATTACTGTAATGACCACCATCAGAGTAGACAAAGATTGTTGTTCTTTTTCTCATTGTCGCACTAATTACTACAGACTCACGGATTCTTGTGTTATGATTTTTAATTTATTTTACTCATTTTTTAATGCTCACATCTACTCAGCATATATATATTATATATATATATATATAAAATATATATGAAAGAAGAATGTGATCAAAGACTCATGAGGGCAAGTGTAAAAGACAAAAGCACTTGTTTCATAGGGAACCCACTGGTGACATTTGAGATATCAACATACAAATCCATCATACAAAAAGGAAAAGTAATGAAAGACTGTGAAAATTATCAGTATTTATGTGTGTATGTATATTTTCTAGTTCATCTATATAGATATATATCATAGATGGCATATATGATATATATATTATATGTCAGATCAATTAGAAAACATACATATACATGTATGCATTTTTGGTATTAATTAGGAAACTAGTTCTTTTGTCTTTCAGACCTGCCCTCATGAGTCTTTGACCAAATTCTTGATTTCTGGCACGATTTGATGCCCAAGGCTCAAAGAATCTTACCTCATCCCAGCTCTGAAATTGGCCGTGTCTCGTTCTAGTGGTCGGAGTTATTGAGAAACCAGGATAGGGTTCATGGAGTTGCTTGTGCTCAGAAATAGCATTTCTATTTTCTTAGGAGAGAGGGGCATAAAATTTATTTTTATGAAAAAGATCATTTTTGACAATAATATTCTCAGTTCAAATTTAATGCTCTACATTATTCAGCTTCTTTTACTTTGGTGATTTTAATATTAGTGTAACTTTTGGATTATCTGATGCTTTTCCATCTTGCTCGTCTGCAGGTGGAATGTCATCCTTACTTCAACCAGAGAAAACTGCTGGATTTCTGCAAGTCAAAAGACATTGTTCTGGTTGCCTATAGTGCTCTGGGATCCCACCGAGAAGAACCATGGTAATAAGAGATACAGGAAGTTTACCTAAAACACCGGTTTGATAAAAAAAATTTAATCAGATCATGCTGTTTCCTGGAGTTCACTCACAGCTGACTTGGGGTGAGGGAAGAATTTGCATTTCTGACGAGATCCCAGGTGATGTTGAGGCTGCTGTTCGGGGGCCTCGCTTGAGAAGCTCCGGTGCAGAGTGGACGCCTTAGTCTGTTTAGGGAGCCGCCTAACAAACTGTATCCCCAGCCTCAGGGCCTCAGCCTTTCTGCCTTTCCTTCCAGGGTGGACCCGAACTCCCCGGTGCTCTTGGAGGACCCAGTCCTTTGTGCCTTGGCAAAAAAGCACAAGCGAACCCCAGCCCTGATTGCCCTGCGCTACCAGCTACAGCGTGGGGTTGTGGTCCTGGCCAAGAGCTACAATGAGCAGCGCATCAGACAGAACGTGCAGGTGAGGAGCGGGGCTGTGGGCCTCAGGTCTCCTGCACAGTGTCCTTCACACGTGTGCTTCTTGTAAGGCTCTCAGGACAGCCTTGGGCCAGCTCCATTTCCCTGTATTTCCTATGCATGAACTCTTTGTGTACGTCATAAGGGTTTCTTCTACTCTAGCACAGGAGAGGCAACAGAGGTGGAGAGAAATAGGATGGGATCAAAACTACAGATTTGGGTTAGCGTTAAGTCAGTGATATCCATATCCCTCTGCTGGGGCCATGTCCTTTTCTTTATTTTTTATAATGAAGCATTGATTAGATGTTCTTTAGTCTCCAACTCATGGCGGATTTTTCTTCTTGTATGTTTATGTAGTATAAATTCCTTATATTTATTCTCTTAGAATTTTATCTTTGCGAAGTGCTTGTTTAACTCTGCCTTTTTTTTTTTGGCGAGGTGGTTGTGTGTCTTTATTTTTATGTGTAGGAGACCATATTTATACCAATACCTTAGGATATAAGACAAACCCACTTAATATAGAGGCTTAATGCAAAAGCATTTATTGAGCTCAAGGTTCCATGGTTAGAAAATTAGCCTGGGCTCAGCCTAAACTCAGTCCATTCCTTCTGTTCCTGGCTGGGCTCTCATGTGTGTTCAGGGCAGTGAGGCAGCTCTGCTTCAGGATGTCCCTGGGGCATCTGTGTGAGCGCCCCCCTCTCCCATGCAGTTCTTTATCCTCCAGCCATCCAGCCCAGGGTTCACCTCAGCACAGGGCATGACCCCAAGGCAGTGAGTGGACATGTGCAAAGCCTTTTCAGGTCTAGGCTCAGAGCTGCCAACCATTGCTTCTGGGAAATTCTATCACCTAATGCAAGTTACAGGACAGGTCAGACTCAAGGGGTGGGGAAAAAGACACCACCTCTTGTTGGAAGGAGCTGGAAATTCATATAACCAAGCAAGTGGATACAGGGACATGTGATTGTTAGAGGGCATGTTCCTAATTAATCTATCATTTATACGATATGTGTGAAATAACATATTAATAGTTATATGTATGAATATGAATATATATAAATTGATATACTATTTCATATATTCTTAAGAATACATCCAAGTCTCTAAAGAATTAATATCCAGAATACATGCATATATATGTTTTCTAATTAGTTATATACAGATATATGAAATATCATATATGATATATATTATAAAACCTATGTCACATATATGACATATATCATGTATATGTATATGTGTCACTATTTGCTAAAACATTAAGTAAAATCAGTGTAGAAATCCATAGGATACTCTGAAATAATGATACAGAGAATGAGAAAGAAAGTAAAAAATGACAATGAAACAATTGATGAATCTAGGTAATGGCATTTACTATATTATTTTAAAAATATTTTTAGACATTAGAAAACCCACAAAACTAAAAGGAAATATTATGAAATAACTGTGGAAATTATCAGTATTTATACATATGTGTATGTTCTCTAATTCATCTAGTATATATAGATATATGACATATGTGTTATATAATATATATGTTAGATTAACTAGAAACCATACATATATATGTATTTATTCTGGATATTAATTCTTTAGAGACTTAAATGTATTCTTGAAATAACATCTCCCAAATTTTACCTGTGTTGTCATATTCTCTGTGGTTATGTTTTCACAAACAAAAGTTTCTATCCTTCATGTAGACTAATTTTTCATGCCTCTTTCTTGTGGTTGGTGAGTGTTGTGTCTTATCCTATATTGGGAATATCACAATATATTACTGTGTTATCTTACAAAATTGTTAATATTCTTTCCTTATAAATTTGGTTAATTCTAATGGGATTGACTTTTTAAATACTGTATGAGATAAGGATCCAAATATGCATATCTAATTTTTGAATTTTTAGCAAAATTTCCCACCAACATTTATTGAAAAGTTCATATTTGCTCACATAACTTGATTTTTTTACCTGTAACATATATGAAATGTCCATGAGCAATTATCTGGCCTCTCTTCCATCTTCAGTTAACTTATTTACTTTTCTGTACTATGATGTTAAAAAGTAAGTTTCACTTCCAGTATGGTACAAATATTTTTCTAACTTCTTCATTTATTTAATAATATCTTAGCTATTCTTGACTAATGTGTTATTTAAAACTTTGAATCATCTTATTAACTTCCACAAGCAAATAAATGTTTAGTCTCTTGTTGACATTGTAATAAGCCTCCAGATCAATGTGGAGAGAACTAAATGTTTGACAATATTGAGATTTCCAATGCATGATCATAATATGAATTTCCCACTTATTAATAGCCTTTTAATAAATATATAATTAATTTCATAACTTTCTCTGTTACTGATGATTTTAATAGTTTTTGATAACTTTTCATTTTTGTTTTATGGATTTTCTAATATATAGAAATATTAAAAGAATAATGCAACAAATCTTCTTACCTACATTCATCAAGTGTTACATTGCTGTCATTTTTTACTCTCTTTCTCTCATTTTCTGTATTACTCCTTCAGTTTCCCTATGGATTTATACACTTATTTGATTGAATGTATTAGAAAGAGTGACATCTTTTTGATATTTAGAGTCTCCCAAATTTACATAGTGAGAGTACCCACACCTTTTGAATGTGAAATCGTTAGTATTTAGACAATTATTGGCTTGAGTGATGTTGAAAACTAATTTTTCCTATTATACCTGTTCATTGGAGAGATAGATATTCAATGTTATTCATCAAACCTACTAAATTATGCTAGACATTACAAAATTTGCCTCTAGATTCTTGTGGGTCTTCTAGGTACATGACCCTATCATGTGGGCACAAAGTAAGCTCTGTTTCTTCTTCAGCTTCCTCTGAGATATTCTCTTCATCTGCAGTGTTGTGCAGTTTCAAAATATTTTATCTGGGAATGGATTTCTGCTTATTTTTGACTGGTTTTCATTGACCACTTGGGTGTTTAGAGAGGTCTTTCATAAATTTTGGAAACGTATCAATCTTTTAAGTATTGTCTCTGCACCCTACTGTCTGATGAACTTGGTTGTTCCCAATTGGCAATGATGTAATCTAAAAATAATTAAAGTTTTCTATTACTTTGATAGGTGTTTGAATTCCAGTTGACTTCAGAGGAGATGAAAGCCATAGATGGCCTAAACAGAAATGTGCGATATTTGACCCTTGATATGTAAGTAATTTTGGAGATGGTTGTCCTAATTTATTTTCAGAGGAGGAACGTAGGATGGGTGTTGAGAGTGACCTCCACACCAGGGGCACAGAGGCCAACGTGAGACAGAGGTGAGACAGGAGCTTTCTGGAAGTCTCCTCCTGGATTCACTCCAGAGCTCTGTTCTCTGGCAGGGAGAGTGGCCTGGGGTCAGCATGGGTCAACCTGTGCCTCTGCTCTCGTGACTCCAAGGAACTTTCCAGAGCAGCCAAGATCATTGCTGAATCTGCACCTTCCATGTAGGCCTGCTGTTTGTGCTACTGTCTAGTGTACACACTGTGGATATTGCCCATGTGGTCGCATTAGATGTTTCCAAATCTGTGCTTCTATCTTGTTCTTCCCAACCTGCTCAATGTCTTACCAGATCAAAGGCAGTTCCGTCAATCTTGTGGGCCAGGTTCCAATTCCCACCTCTTTCACATGGAATTGCTTGCTGGATCCTGTCGATTTAGCATTTTTAATCATTTCAAACCTTTTTCGTGCCTGTCTTTGCATGTTTGCCCATGAGCCAAACACTGCATTTGCCTCCAGAAAGTCTGTCTTAGTGAAGCGAATAGGAGCACTTGGCCTTGGTGTTCTGCAATATGGAGATCTCAGTGCAGAGAATGAAGAAATGTTAAAATCAAATGCAGAGTGTAGATGCAAAAGCACCATTGTTGGAGATAATTTATAACCAATAACAGAAGTTTACTATTCCTCTGTGTTCTAAGGTTCTAGGATTCATAGAAGGTCATTCATATAATGAGGGAAAAAAGAAGTTATGTAACTGCTGGCAGTAGGGATTTCAACAAGTAATAGAGATGATGAGATAATGTGTGAAAAAAACAAGCACAATGGTACATCATAAGTACCCAAAATTTGGTGGATATTATTAGTAGTATTTTATTCATTTAGAGGAAAATACAAAATGAAAACGGAGATGATAAAAAGAAAAGGAAAAGTGGCAAGCATTAGAAAGTTTTAAAACCAATTAATGTTTTTGGGGATCATGAAATCAATCACTAGTGTTATTTTGTAGAACTCAAATATGGTCTGGAGTAAACCACTTGCGAGCTTCCAAGTGTTTGCTCTTGGTGTAATCAAAAAGGATAGGCTCAATTCCCTAATTAATAAGTTGTAATTGTACATGTGAGCAGTCATTTATCTGTGTCTTTACATTTTGTGTTATTTCTGCCTATAAAATGGTTTATACATTGTAGCTCTTTGGATATTGGACCCTATATCAAAAACAACAATTTACATTTCTGAATCTAACCAACTATGTTGCATATGATAGGCAGGTAGTAATATGTAAAGTAATTAAGTATAATTGCTACCAGTATAATCATCACACTCAAAATTGTTTATTAGTGATGAGCATATGTCTTGCTTATTCCTCTTCAATGTAAGGCAGTATAGTTCCATTTTTACTGAGAATTTGAAATAGAAAAGGTCAGTATATCTCTTTGCTCTGTTGACAGATGTAGAGAAATATGTTTGAACATTTCACTTTGTGTGTTTTATGTGTTAAGTTCCAGGCAGGGGAATAGAATTAAATTATTCTTTATTTTGAAAATACAGATATGATAAAGTCACATTCATTAAACAAAGAAACACAGATTCTAGAGCAGTCAGAAAATGAACTTCTTAACATCTACACTAGCGGCAGCTTCCTAGAAATCACTGCACTACCCGCTAGTAACGGAGTCATTGCCATTCAGAGTGTGCATTTTTTTTTCTCTTTCCAGTTTTGCTGGCCCCCCTAATTATCCATTTTCTGATGAATATTAACATGGAGGGCATTGCATGAGGTCTGCCAGAAGGCCCTGCGTGTGGATGGTGACACAGAGGATGGCTCTATGCTGGTGACTGGACACATCGCCTCTGGTTAAATCTCTCCTGCTTGGTGATTTCAGCAAGCTACAGCAAAGCCCATTGGCCAGAAAGGAAAGACAATAATTTTGTTTTTTCATTTTGAAAAAATTAAATGCTCTCTCCTAAAGATTCTTCACCTACTTTGGTCTCCATAACTTCTATGTTTTCTTTCCTTCTGACACACTAGTGCCCCTAAATTGTGATTTGCCTATACGTTTAGGGCCGGGGTTGGAAGATGTTAACAACCATTTAAGATTCATTTCTGCAGTGGGAGTGGGTGGAGTTTCACCCTCTGGGAAAGGGGCAGGTGACAGGTATTTATCAGTCAGTGCCTCTCTAGCTCTTGTAGGAAGAAGCACACGCAGGATGGAGTCTAGAGGATGAGCGATATTGACTAGCAATTCATGGGCTCCCTCCAGCAGTGCGAGGGTCAGAGTTTCTGGAGCCTTGGGAGGAGGCATCCCTGTGAGGGGGGGTTAGGGAGATGGGAGGGCACCAGGAAAAGTGATTAGAAGTCAGGTATGGGAAGGCTAAATAGGACAGAGTCGAGTACATCTCTGCTTGGAAAAACATATCAACACCCTTTTTTTTGAACATTATATCTTGCTCATAAAAGAAAACTTTCCACATTGTTTTAACAAACCCCACAGCTGAGAGTCAGGCCTGAATCTTTGATGTGTGCCCATTCACAACGTTGACCCTATTGGTTTGTGGTGGGGCAGGGCATCAAAGACATCATTGACTAATCACATTCCCCTGAATAGCTCATATTTAGAAAATATTCTTAGATTCTAAAAATGTACTATTAATTTGTGATATTCAGTCTTTTAAATATTTTATACATTAAACAGGCATAGTTACAAATATAAAACAAAAATATCCCAAAGCCATTATGCATGGCACTCAAGATTAAAATGGGAAATAATACATCTAATAAATCAAATGTTCCAAGACTTCAAAGGTCTTTTGGAAACAGGCTATGTAAAACAGCACACTGGTTTCAAACTTTGGTAAATTTTAAGAACAACTCTTACAAAGGCATTTAATTCTTATACATAATTTTCAGGGGACCTAAGTTAATCAGCTAATCATGAAGACATGATTTTCATTTTAGAAAACACTTTTGAAAACTTGGGATAATCTCATGCCTTAATGATCAAAGCATTATGAGAAGGACAGTGGTTTTTAACCTGGGCATATGTTCTAACACATTTACTCTCCACTATTCGTACTCTGGTAGCCATGTTAACCCCATCAGAGATTCCTTCTCAAGCCATGTCTCAGAGCTGAGAGGCATCCCAGCAAGTTTTGCAGCTCACAGTTTTTTCCGTAAATTACTTATTCTATAAAATTGGAGTAGGCCATAAACTTTGGAGGGCCCTAGACCAATTTTTTGGATTATTTTTCGTCTTCTATCATTCCGCTGATCTTAGATATTCTCTGCATTAAATATTAAATATCACTTCTAGGCTGAAAAATCCCCCTAAAAATATTTCTAGCTCAGATTTTTCCTCCAAATTCTGCAATAGAAGATCACAATGTGAACTCTGCATCTCCATGTTAAAGTCTAATGGACATTCACACTTAGCATGTCTCAAAGAAATCTCATGTAAACCATGGCCATCCTGTTCTACCTTAACTTTCTGAGTCTATGGAATGATAATTTCACATCTCATAAACTTGACTGATGTAAGTGTCAAGAAAAGATTGACATTTTGTTAAAAGTTAGTAGTGAAGTGTGTAACGCTTAAGCAAACTTTCATATTTCAAATCTCTTTAGCAAGTGTAACTCTTTTTTCAAGATGTGAAATAATCATTAGGTCAGTCATTTGTAAATAGTACATCTGCTATGGACTTTTTCCAGTTCTTCACCATCCATTTTTATAAAACTCTTATTGTTAAAAAAAAAGTTACTCAGAATTTCATAAAGCCAAACACCTGATTTCAGGAACACTTGAGATGTAAGAAAATTTTATAGGGACCTCCAATCACTAATTTTCCTATTTTTTCTCTCAAAGAAATGCTGAAGGGAGGAATTCAGGTTGAATGAAAGGAAATAGTAACTTACAGCCATATAGAGTTATAAAGACTTCTTGTAAATGTGAACATATGGTAAAATATAAAAACATGTATTTTTGAAATTTTGGATTCTACTCATTATTTTACTTCAATTTAAGATATAAATGTATAGAAATAAGTATAATTCTAAGCTAATACGTATGCAATGTAGGAAGCTGTAATTACTGACCAAAACTATGTGAAGTGGAGAAAACCTGGGGAAGTGGATGGTTTTAGATGAAACTGAAGTTAAATTCATATTGATTTAAAGTAAATTGTTATAACTTTATAAAGTTTTTCATCATCACCACAGCAATCACAAAGAGAATAATTATGAATATACGCAAGAGGAAATGAGAAGGGAATCCAAATGTCATTAAAAAAAAATCACGCCACCTCACAAAATGGTAACAGTGGATATAAAGGATAGAAAGCTATAAACCTGGTAGGAAAACATTGAAAATGGCACAAGTGACTCCTTCCCTGTCACCAATGACAGTCATGTGTTGCATAATGCCTGGGCTATCTTCTGAGAATGGCTTTGTTAGGCAACTGTGTCATGGTGGGGACATGATAGCATTAGAGAGAATTCTCTCAAACACTGTCATGGCCTTATCAACTATGCTTCTGTAATATTCTGAATCCTTCGCTGCCTTTCCAACAGTGTTTACAACGGTTTCCTAAGAAATGAAATCCATTTCACCAAACCACTTTTCTTGCTCATCCATAAGAAACACTTCTCCTTTGTTAAAATTACATCATGAGATTGCAAGCATTCAGTAACTTGCAAGCTCCAATTTGAATTCTAGTTGTCTTGCTATTTCCACCACATCTGCAATTACTTTCTCCACTGAAATCTTGCATTCCTCCAAGTCATCCAGGAGGGTTGAATTCACTTCTTTCAAACTCCTGTTCAAGTAAATGTTTTGCCCTCCTGTCACGAATCATGAATGTTTTTAATGGCATCTAGAATAGTAAATCTTTTTCAGAAGATTTTCAATTTTCTTTTCCCAGGTTCTTCAGACAAGTCACCATGGTAGCTGTAGACTTATGAAATGTATTTCCTGAACCATAAAACAAGAACATCAA
This sequence comes from Homo sapiens, assembly GCF_000001405.40. NCBI lineage: Eukaryota > Metazoa > Chordata > Mammalia > Primates > Hominidae > Homo > Homo sapiens. The sequence continues at coordinate 4,980,974 of NC_000010.11, forward strand.
AATTACTCTATGATCCATGGGAAACAGAATGCATGTTGTGTTAGCAGGCATGGAAAGAACAGTAATCTCTTTCAACCTCTGTAAGAGAGTTCTTGGTTGATTAGGTACCTTGTCGATAGGCAGTTCTAATTTCAAAGAACTTTTTCTTTTGCTGAGCAGTAAGTCTTAACAGTGGGCTTAAAATATTCAGTAAACCATTATTTAAGGAGATGTGGCTTAAATATCTAGGCTTTCTTGCTTTATTTATAGAACACTTACAGAGTAGATATAGATTAAATCTTAAGGACCCTAGGATTGTTAGAATAGTAAATGAACATCATATGTTGTAATATAGTTAGCCAGGGAGGGGAAAGATCTCTACAAGAAATAATTTTAAAAACTACTCAAAGAAATCAGAGATATCACAAAATGACAAAACAAGTACAGGGGCAGCAAAAGGTAACAGATGTCAACTATGAGATCTCATCAAGAACTAAGAAAATGGAGAAAAGTACCAGATGGCAGATGGGAGGCAGTGTGAGCATGCCTCTCCCACTTGGAGATTAGTGTGTAGAGATTTACATTGTGAATTTCTTTTCAAGAACCAATGCAGAGACTTAACAGATATATGAAAAAATTTCACATACACTCTGAAGAAGTCTCAGGCACAATCCTACTCCATGAAATAAGAAAAAACCATCACATCCCCAGATTCTGAGGGGAGAGAGTTCACTCCAGAGCATACATCCCCACTGGGGATCTGGAAATTCAGGCCACAAGAGAAGGCTTTGATCCTGTGCGGACAAGTGCCTTGAGCAGAATCCACAGGGGAGAGCTGGAAGTGCATGGCAGATATGAGCACAGAAGCTGGGTGTCCAGCCTTGTGGGCAGACCGGGAGGGATGTGGCCTGAAAGCCATGGTTATTATCTCAGCGTGTAAGCTGATGATCTGAGGCTGGTCAGAGTTCTGTGCGCAGACTGCCTGGATGTAAACCTGGCACTGTTAGCAGAGCACTGCATGAATGAAAGGAATGAAAATAGCCTTGCCAACTGCATAGGTGCTGGGTGAGGCTCACTGTGGGGGGCGCACGGCAAGCTATTCAACATTACGTACAGGCATTTGAGGTCGGGGCATGGAAAAATACTGAGGCAGTGTGTGTATGTTATTTGTGCTGAGAATGAAACTCCTTGACCTTGAAAACAGGACAGGGAGTGGTGTGTGTGCTGTGATAAGGAATGCTGAAAACGGTCTCCTGAGAATGCGGTTTGAGTGCTTTTACAAGGCCACAGGTGTCTCACGACCTGACCTCATAAAGCCATCTAGTGGATGTTTGTGGCTTAACAAGCCCCTTCAATAAGTACTTGGCGGAGGGATGCTGGGGGGACCTTCTTAGAAGAGCTGCGCCCCACCCCCCTCCCTGGACAGCCCAGCTACAATTGTCTGAGAACTCACTGCAAGCTGTAAGCGGCCCACTACTTCCCACTCCCTTTTTTGAACTCTTCTGTGCAGCAGAGGCAATTAAACTCTCCTCTGGAACATTACCCCAGCAGCCTGAGAACCACCCCTTGGCGCTCACAGGGGCTGCAGCCTGCCTTATCCAAGGACAGTTAGAGTGCAGACCCACCTAACCCTGGACCCACTGGTGGTACCCATCCACCCATCCTGGTAGCTTAACACAAAGATACACTTTTAGGAGCTTCATAGCCCCTCTTCCCCCATTGCCTGAGAAACCACTTTCCCTGGGCAACTTAGGGCAAGCTCAAATCCCACTGCTACCACCACAGCTGGTGCTCTTTTGCAAGTGCCACCTCCTAGCTGGAGACCAACCAGCACAGTCCACACAGCACCTCAAGGAAGAATAAATAGAACTGTTCCCAGGAAGGAGAAAATGCCTGCATGAGCTCAGCTGTTACCACTGCGTACCACACCCTGACCAGTCAGAGGTCTTGAGTCGGTCCGCATGACAAGTTCACCGCTCGCATAACCAGCATTCAAGAAAGCCAGCACACTAAGCCTATCTACAGCCAGGGAGTCTCAGAGTCTACGTCACTCCCCTGCCACCTCAATCAGAGCTGGTGCTGGTATCCACTGCTGGGAGACTTGTGCTGAGGTGAAGCCTGGGCTGGATGGCTGGAGGATGAAGAACTGCACGGAGGAGATGGAGGCACCCAGACAGATGCCCCATGGACATCCTGAAGCAGAGCTGCCTCACTGCCCTGCACACACATGAGAGCGCAGCCAGGAACAGAAGGACTGGGCAACATTCAGGCGGAGCCCAGGCCAATTTTCTAAACATGGAATATGAGTTAAATAAATGGCTTCGTATTAAAGCCTGTATGTTAAGAGGGTTTGCTTTATATCCCAAAGTATTAGTATAATCATGATCTCCTATGCATAAAAACAGGACAAACAACCCAATAAAAGAGTCAGAGAGTTAACAAGCGCTTCACAAAGATAAAACTCTAAGAGAATAAATATAAGAAGTATATACTATGTGAGTATATATGGAAAAGAAAGAAATTCACAATGATTTGGAGACTAAAGAACACCTAATTAAACTCCTTGTTTATGAAAATGAAGAAAAGGAGATGTCCCTGGCAGAGGGATACAAGGTAAATTGTCAACTCAATGCTGAAACCCAAATCTCTTGTTTGGGTCCCATCCTAATTCTCTCCACCCATGCTGTCTTTCCTGTGGTAAAGTGGAAAACCCTTATGATGAACACAAAGCATTTGTGCATAGAATATGCCAGGGAAAAGGAGATGGCCCAAGGGTGTCCTCAGAACCTTACAAGAAGCACATGTTTGAAGGACACTATGCAGGAGCCCTGAGGCCCACAGCCCCGCTCCTCACCTGCACGTTCTCTCTGATACGCTGCTCATTGTAGCTCTTGGCCAGGACCAAGAAAGGAGAGGAGGCTGATGGCATTCACCTGGAGAGTGCTTCTCCTGTGGGGGTGCAATCATCATGAATTGTTCCAGGAAGGCTCTCTATAGGTGCATCCACTCTGCGCTCCTGTGGGATAAGCCCCAGCTGTGTCTACAGTGGTGCACCAGCGGGGAACAAGGACTGCTTCTCCAGGACCTTTCTCAGTCACAGAAGCTGCCTGCCTGTTGGGGCAGAGGGGCAGGCTTTTCCTACTGCACCCAGCTCTGCAGTTGTTTGTCTGCTGCAAGAAATTTCCCAACAGTGGAAAGACCTGGGATTCAAGGGCTGCCATTCAGGTTTTTCTGTCCCACTGGTGTTCCCTTATGTGGTACTCTTTTCCCTACCCTCAAAATGGGACTTCGAGAGAGCTGGACTACAGTGATTGCTACTGCTCTTCTGGGCCTAGCCGCCCAGTGGGCTCCCAGACTCCAGGCTGGTGCTGGATTTGTTTGCAAAGGATCCAGTGATGTGACCTGTCGTCAAGTCTCCCAGCAGTGGACACCAGCACCAGCTCTGATTGAGGTAGCGGGGAGCAACGTAGACTCGGAGATGCCTTGGATGTAGGTAGGCTCAGTGTGCTGGCTTTCTTGAACACTGGTTATGTGAGCGGTGAACTTGTCATGCGGACCGACTCAAGACCTCTGATTGGCCAGGATGTGATACGCAGTGGTAATAGCTGAGCTCATGCAGGCATTTTCTCCTTCCTGGGAACAGTTCTATGTATTCCTTGAGGTGCTGTGTGGACTGTGCTGGTTGGTCTCCAGCTAGGAGGTGGCACTTGCAAAAGAGCACCAGCTGTGGTGGTAGCAGTGGGATTTGAGCTTGCCCTAAGTTGCCCAGGGAAAGTGGTTTCTCAGGCAATGGGGAAAGGGGGGGTATGAAGCTCCTAAAAGTGTATCTTTGTGTTAAGCTACCAGGATGGGTGGATGGGTACCACCAGTGGGTCTAGGGTTAGGTGGGTCTGCACTCTAACTGTCCTTGGATGAGGCAGGCTGCAGCCCCTGTGAGGGCTAAGGGGTGGTTCTCAGGCTGCTGGGGTAATGTTCCAGAGGAGAGTTTAACTGCCTCTGCTGCACAGAAGAGTTCACAAAGGGAGTGGGAAGTAATGGGTGGCAGCGAGCTTCACCCAGCACGCATGGAGTTGGCAAGGCAGTTTTCATTCCTTTCATTCCTGTAATGCTCTGCTAACAGTGCCAGGTTTACATCCAAGCAATCTGTGCACAGAACTCAGACAAGCTCCAGGTCATCAGCTTTCCCACAGAGAGAATAACCATGGCTTTCAGGCCACGTCCTTCCTGGTCTGCCCACAAGGCTGGACACCCAGCTTCTGCGCTCATGTCTGCAATGCACTTCCAGCTCTCCCCTGTGGGTTCTGCTCAAGGGCACGTGTCCTCACTTGAGATTATATCACAAAATTCAGTTGGGAGCTTCTTTTACCCTGTGATCCCTCTCTGAGCTCATTAGCTGACTTCGCCAAGGGTCCCTGTGACATGTAGTCAGGAATGGCTTCCCTGAGTTCACACTCCTGCTGCTTCTATTTGTATATTTCACTGGCTCACTAAATCCATTCCCACTCTGCATAGGATCAAAGCCTTATCTTGTGGCCTGAATTTCCAGATTCCCAGTGGGGATGTGTGCTCTGGAGTGGACTATCTCCCCTCACAATGTGGGGCTGTGACGTTTTTTGCTTGTTTCATGGAGTAGGCTGGTGCCCGCTTCTTCTTCAAAGTGTATGTGGATTTTTATTCTTTTTTTGGTTTTTGTGTTAAGTTCCTGCATCAGTTCTTGAAAAAAAATTCACAATGTAAATCTCTACATACTAATCTGTCCTTCAAAGTGGGAGAGGCATGCTAACACCGCCTCCCATCTGCTATGTGGTACTTTTGTCCATTTTCTTAGTTCTTGATGAGATCTCATAGTTGGCATCTGTTACCTTTTGCTGCCCCTGTACTTGTTTTGTCAATTGTGTTATCTCTGATTTCTTTGAGTAGTTTTTAAATTTTTCTTGTAGAGATCTTTCCCCTCCCTGGCTATCTATATTCCTAAGTATGATGTTCATTTACTATTCCAACAATCCTAGGGCCCTTAAGATTTAAGCTACATCTACAATGCAAGTGTTCTATAAATAAAGCAAGAAATCCTAGATATTTAAGTCACATCTCCTTAAATAATGGTTTACTGAATATTTTAAGACCACTGTTAAGAAGTCCTGCTCAGCAAAAGAAAAACAATTTTTTGAAAATAGGACTATGCCGGGACCAGCTCGGTCGGGGAGATGCTAACCCAGCGGCGCTAGAGGAATTAAAGACACACACACAGAAATATAGAGGTGTGAAGTGGGAAATTAGGGGTCTCACAGCCTTCAGAGCCGAGAGCCCTGAACAGAGATTTACCGACATATTTATTAACAGCAAGCCAGTCATTAGCATTGTTTCTACAGATATTAAATTAACTAAAAGTATCCTTATGGGAAATGAAGGGATGGGCCGAATTAAAGGAATAGGTTGGGCTAGTTAACTGCAGTAGGAGCATGTCCTTAAGGCACAGATCACTCATGCTATTGTTTGTGGCTTAAGAATGCCTTTAAGCAGTTTTCTGCCCTGAGTGGACCAGGTGTTCCTTGCCCTCATTCCCCTAAACCCACGACCCTCCAGTGTGGGCGTTATGGCCATCATGAACATGTCACAGTGCTGCAGAGATTTTGTTTATGGCAAGTTTTGGGGCCAGTTTATGGCCAGATTTTGGGGGGCTTTTTCCCAACAGGACTGCCTTTTGGCAATGTACCTAATCTGATAGCTTTCTTATAGAGAGGCTGAAACAGATTACTGCTGTTTCCGTGCCTGCTAATACAACGTGCATTCTGTTTCCCATGGGTCATAGAGTAATTTTGATGTTCTTGTTTTATGGTTCAGGAAATACATTTCATAAATATATGGCTACCATAGTGATTGGTCTGAAGAATCTGTGAAAAGAAAATTGAAAATCTTCTGAAAAAGATTTACTATTCTAGATGCCATTAAAACCATTCATGATTCGTGACAGGAGGGCAAAACATTTACTTGAACAGGAGTTTGAAAGAAGTGAATTCAACCCTCCTGGATGACTTGGAGGAATGCAAGATTTCAGTGGAGAAAGTAATTGCAGATGTGGTGGAAATAGCAAGACAACTAGAATTCAAATTGGAGCTTGCAAGTTACTGAATGCTTGCAGTCTCATGATGTAATTTTAACAAAGGAGAAGTGTTTCTTATGGATGAGCAAGAAAAGTGGTTTGGTGAAATGGATTTCATTTCTTAGGAAACCGTTGTAAACACTGTTGGAAAGGCAGCGAAGGATTCAGAATATTACAGAAGCATAGTTGATAAGGCCATGACAGTGTTTGAGAGAATTCTCTCTAATGCTATCATGTCCCCACCATGACACAGTTGCCTAACAAAGCCATTCTCAGAAGATAGCCCAGGCATTATGCAACACATGACTGTCATTGGTGACAGGGAAGGAGTCACTTGTGCCATTTTCAATGTTTTCCTACCAGGTTTATAGCTTTCTATCCTTTATATCCACTGTTACCATTTTGTGAGGTGGCGTGATTTTTTTTTAATGACATTTGGATTCCCTTCTCATTTCCTCTTGCGTATATTCATAATTATTCTCTTTGTGATTGCTGTGGTGATGATGAAAAACTTTATAAAGTTATGACAATTTACTTTAAATCAATATGAATTTAACTTCAGTTTCATCTAAAACCATCCACTTCCCCAGGTTTTCTCCACTTCACATAGTTTTGGTCAGTAATTACAGCTTCCTACATTGCATACGTATTAGCTTAGAATTATACTTATTTCTATACATTTATATCTTAAATTGAAGTAAAATAATGAGTAGAATCCAAAATTTCAAAAATACATGTTTTTATATTTTACCATATGTTCACATTTACAAGAAGTCTTTATAACTCTATATGGCTGTAAGTTACTATTTCCTTTCATTCAACCTGAATTCCTCCCTTCAGCATTTCTTTGAGAGAAAAAATAGGAAAATTAGTGATTGGAGGTCCCTATAAAATTTTCTTACATCTCAAGTGTTCCTGAAATCAGGTGTTTGGCTTTATGAAATTCTGAGTAACTTTTTTTTTTTAACAATAAGAGTTTTATAAAAATGGATGGTGAAGAACTGGAAAAAGCCCACAGCAGCCGTACTATTTACAAATGACTGACCTAATGATTATTTCACATCTTGAAAAAAGAGTTACACGTGCTATAGAGATTTGAAATATGAAAGTCTGCTTAAGCGTTACACACTTGGCTACGAAGTTTTAACAAAATGTCAATCTTTTCTTGACACTTACATCAGTCAAGTTTATGAGATGTGAAATTATCATTCCATAGACTCAGAAAGTTAAGGTAGAACAGGATGGCCATGGTTTACATGAGATTTCTTTGAGACATGCTAAGTGTGAATGTCCATTAAACTTTAACATGGAGATGCAGAGTTCACATTATGATCTTCCATTGAAGATTTGGAGGAAAACGCTGAGCTAGAAATATTTTTTGGTGGATTTCTCAGCCTAGAGGTGATATTTAATGCAGAGAATATCTAAGATCATCAACGGAATGAGAGTAGACCAGAAATAATCCAAAAAATTGGTCTAGGGCCCTCCAAAGTTTATGGCCTCTTCCAATTTTATAGAATAAGTAATTTACAGAAAAATTGTGAGCTGCAAAACTTGCTGGGATGCCTATCAGCTCTGAGACATGGCTTGAGAAGGAATCTCTGATGGGGTTAACATGGCTACCAGAGTACGAATAGTGGAGAGTAAATGTGTTAGAAAGTGTGCCCAGGTAAAAAACCACTGTCCTTCTCATAATGCTTTGATCATTAAGACATGAGATTATCCCAAGTTTTCAAAAGTGTTTTCTAAAACGAAAATCATGTCTTCATGATTAGCTGATTTGATTAGTTCCCCTGAAAATTATGTATAAGAATTAAATGCCTTTGTAAGAGTTCTTCTTAAAATTTACCAAAGTTTGAAACCAGTGTGCTGTTTTACATAGCCTGTTTCCAAAAGACATTTGAAGTCTTGGAACATTTGATTTATTAGATGTATTATTTCCCATTTTAATCTTGAGTGCCATGCATAATGGCTTTGGGATATTTATGTTTTATACTTGTAACTATGCCTTGTTTAAAGTATAAAACATTTAAAAGATTGCATATAACAAATGAACAGTACATTTTTACAATCTAAGAATATTTTCTAAATATGAGCTATTCAGGGGAATGTGATGAGTCAATGATATCTTCGATGTCCTGCCCCACCACAAACCAATAGGGTCAACGTTGTGAATGGGCACACATCAAAGATTCAGGCCTGACTCTCAGCTGTGGGGTTTGTTAAAACAATGTGGAAAGTTTTCTTTTATGAACAAGATATAATGATCAAAAAAAAGGGTGTTGATATGTTTTTCCAAGCAGAGATGTACTCGACTCTGTCCTATTTAGCCTTCCCATACCTGACTTCTAATCACTTTTCCTGGTGCCCTCCCATCTCCCTAACCCCCCCTCACAGGGATGCCTCCTCCCAAGGCTCCAGAAACTCTGACCCTCGCACTGCTGGAGGGAGCCCATGAATTGCTAGTCAATATCGCTCATCCTCTAGACTCCATCCTGCGTGTGCTTCTTCCTACAAGAGCTAGAGAGGCACTGACTGATAAATACCTGTCACCTGCCCCTTTCCCAGAGGGTGAAACTCCACCCACTCCCACTGCAGAAATGAATCTTAAATGGTTGTTAACATCTTCCAACCCCGGCCCTAAACGTATAGGCAAATCACAATTTGGGGGCACTAGTGTGTCAGAAGGAGAGAAAACATAGAAGTTATGGAGACCAAAGTAGGTGAAGAATCTTTAGGAGAGAGCATTTAATTTTTTCAAAATGAAAAACAAAATTATTGTCTTTCTTTTCCGGCCGATGGGCTTAGCTGTAGCTTACTGAAGTCGCCAAGCAGGAGAGATTTAACCAGAGGCGATGTGTCCAGTCACCAGCATAGAGCCATCCTCTGTGTCACCATCCACACGCAGGGCCTTCTGGCAGACCTCATGCAATGCCCTCCATGTTAATATTCATCAGAAAATGGATAATTAGGGGGGCCAGCAAAACTGGAAAGAGAAAAAAAAATGCACACTCTGAATGGCAATGACTCCGTTACTAGCCCGTAGCGCAGTGATTTCTAGGAAGCTGCCGCTAGTGTAGATGTTAAGAAGTTCATTTTCTGACTGCTCTAGAATCTGTGTTTCTTTGTTTAATGAACGTGACTTTATCATATCTGTATTTTCAAAATAAAGAATAATTTAATTCTATTCCCCTGCCTGGAACTTAACACATAAAACACACAAAGTGAAATGTTCAAACATGTTTCTCTACATCTCTCAACAACAGATCCCACATCTGTCAACAAAGAGATATTCTGACCTTTTCTATTTCAAATTCTCACTAAAAACAGGAACTCCTTCTGCCTTACATTGAAGAGGAATAAGGAAGATATATGCTCATCACTAATAAACAATTTTGAGTGTGATAATTATACTGGTAGTAATTGTACTTTATTTTATTACTTTACATATTACTTACTACCTGCCTATCATACGCAACACACTTGGTTAGATTAGAAACGTAAATTATTGTTTATGTTATAGGGCCCAATATTCAAAGAGCTACAATGCATAAACCATTTTATAGGTAGACATAATCCAAAATGTAAAGACACAGATAAATGACTGCTCACATATACAGTTATAACTTGTTAATTACGGAATTGAGCCTATCCTTTGTGATTACACCGAGAGCAAACACTTGGAAGCTCGCAAGTGGTTTACTCCAGACCATATTTGAGTTCTACAAAATAACACTAGTGATTGATTTCATGATCATAAAAAACATTAATCAGTTGTAAACATTTCTAATGCTTGCCACTTTTCCTTTTCTTATTATCATTTCCATTTTCATTTTGTATTTTCTGCTAAGTGGATAAAATACTACTAATAATATCCACCAAATTTTGGGTACTTATGATGTACCATTGTGCTTGTTTTTTTCACACATTATCTCATCATCTCTATTACTTGTTAAAATCTCCACTGCCATCAGTTACATAACTTCTTTTTCCCTCATTATTTGAATGACCTTCTATGAATCCTAGAACCTTAGAATATAGAGGAATAGTAAACGTCTGTTACTGGTTATAAATTATCTCCAATAATGGTGCTTTTGCATCTACACTCTGCATTTGATTTTAACACTTCCTCATTCTCTACACTGAGATCTCCATATTGCAGAACACCAAGGCCAAGTGCTCCTATTCGCTCCACTAAGACAGACTTTCTGGAGGCAAATGCAGTATTTGGCTCATGGGCAAACATGCAAAGAAAGGCACGAAAAAGGTTTGAAATGATTAAAAATGCTAAATTGACAGGATCCAGCAAGCAATTCCATGTGAAAGAGGTGGGAATTGGAACCTGGCCCACAAGATTGACGGAACTGCCTTTGATCTGGTAAGACATTGAGCAGGTTGGGAAGAACAAGATAGAAGCACAGATTTGGAAACATCTAATGCGACCACATGGGCCATATCCACAGTGTGTACACTAGACAGTAATACAAACGGCAGGCCTACATGGAAGGTGCAGATTCAGCAATGATCTTGGCTGCTCTGGAAAGTTCCTTGGAGTCACGAGAGCAGAGGCACAGGTTGACCCATGCTGACCCCAGGCCACTCTCCCTGCCAGAGAACAGAGCTCTGGAGTGAATCCAGGAGGAGACTTCCAGAAAGCTCCTGTCTCACCTCTGTCTCACGTTGGCCTCTGTGCCCCTGGTGTGGAGGTCACTCTCAACACCCATCCTACGTTCCTCCTCTGAAAATAAATTAGGACAACCATCTCCAAAATTACTTACATATCAAGGGTCAAATATCGCACATTTCTGTTTAGGCCATCTATGGCTTTCATCTCCTCTGAAGTCAACTGGAATTCAAACACCTATCAAAGTAATAGAAAACTTTAATTATTTTTAGATTACATCATTGCCAATTGGGAACAACCAAGTTCATCAGACAGTAGGGTGCAGAGACAATACTTAAAAGATTGATACGTTTCCAAAATTTATGAAAGACCTCTCTAAACACCCAAGTGGTCAATGAAAACCAGTCAAAAATAAGCAGAAATCCATTCCCAGATAAAATATTTTGAAACTGCACAACACTGCAGATGAAGAGAATATCTCAGAGGAAGCTGAAGAAGAAACAGAGCTTACTTTGTGCCCACATGATAGGGCCATGTACCTAGAAGACCCACAAGAATCTAGAGGCAAATTTTGTAATGTCTAGCATAATTTAGTAGGTTTGATGAATAACATTGAATATCTATCTCTCCAATGAACAGGTATAATAGGAAAAATCAGTTTTCAACATCACTCAAGCCAATAATTGTCTAAATACTAACGATTTCACATTCAAAAGGTGTGGGTACTCACTATGTAAATTTGGGAGACTCTAAATATCAAAAAGATGTCACTCTTTCTAATACATTCAATCAAATAAGTGTATAAATCCATAGGGAAACTGAAGGAGTAATACAGAAAATGAGAGAAAGAGAGTAAAAAATGACAGCAATGTAACACTTGATGAATGTAGGTAAGAAGATTTGTTGCATTATTCTTTTAATATTTCTATATATTAGAAAATCCACAAAATGAAAATGAAAAGTTATCAAAAACTATTAAAATTATCAGTAATTGCCGGGCACGTTGGCTCACGCCTATAATCCTAGCACTTTGGGAGGCCAGCGCAGGAGGATTGCCTGATTTCAGGAGTTAGAGAACAGCCTGGGCAACACAGTGAAACCCGTCTCTACTAAAATACAAAAAATTAGCTGGGCATGGCAGCATGCGCCAGCAGTCCCAGCTACTCTGGAGGCTGAGGCAGGAGAACTGCTTGAACCCGGGAGGTGGAGGTTGCAGTGAGCCGAGTTCGTGCCACTGCACTCCACCCTGGGTGACAGAACGAGACTCTGTCTCAAAAAAAAAATGATCAGTAATGGAGAAATTTATGCAATTAATGATATATTTATTAAGAGATGATTTATTAATAAGTAGTGGGATATTCATATTATGATCATGGACTGGAAATCTCAATATTGTCAAAGATTCAGTTCTCTCTGCATTGATCTGCAGGCTTATTACAATGTCAATGAGAGACTAAAACATTTACTTGCCTGTGGAAGTTAATAAGATGATTCAAAATTTTAAATAACACATTAGTCAAGAATAGCTAAGATATTATTAAATAAATGAAGAAGTTAGAAAAATATTTGTACCATACTGGAAGTGAAACTTACTTTTTAACATTATAGCACAGAAAAGTGAATAAGTTAACTGAAGATGGAAGAGAGGCCAGATAATTGCTCATGGACATTTCATATATGTGTCAGGTAAAAAAATTCAAGTTATGTGAGCAAATATAAACTTTTCAATAAATGGTAAATTTTGCTAAAAATTCAAAAATTAGATACGCATATTTGGATCCTTATTTCACATAATATTTTAAAAGTCATACCCATTAGAATTAACCAAATTTATAAGGAAAGAATATTAACAATTTTGTAAGATAACACAGTAAAATATTGTGATATTCCCAATATAGGATAAGACACAACACACACCAACCACAAGAAAGAGGCATGAAAAATTAGTCTACATGAAGGATAGAAACTTTTGTTTGTGAAAACATAACCACAGAGAATATGACAACGCAGATAAAATTTGGGAGATGTTATTTCAAGAATACATTCAAGTCTCTAAAGAATTCATATCCAGAATAAATACATATATATGTATGGTTTCTAGTTAATCTAACATATATATTATATAACACATATGTCATATATCATATATATCTATATATACTAGATGAATTAGAGAACATACACATATGTATAAATACTGATAATTTCCACAGTCTTTCATAACTTTTCATTTTTGTTTTGTGAATTCTCTAATGTCCAAAAATATTTTTAAAATAATTTAATGAATGCCATTACCTAGATTCATCAATTGTTTCATTATTGTCATTTTTTATTCTCTCGTTCTCTGTATCACTATTTCAGAGTATCCTATGGATTTCTTCACTTATTTTACTTAATGTTTTAGTAAATAGTGACGTATATACATATACATGATATATGTCATATATATGACATAGGTTTTATAATATATATCATACGTGATGTATATTTTATGTATCTAACTAATTAGAAAACATACACATATGTATGTATTCTGGATGTTAATTCTTTAGAGACTTGTATGAATTCTTGAGAATATATGAAATAATATATCTATATATATTCATATTCATACATATAACTATTGATATATTATTTCACACATATCATATAAATGATAGATTAATTAGGAACATGCCCTCTAACAATCACATGTCCCTGTGTCCACTTGCTTGGCTATATGAATTTCCAGTTCCTTCCAGTAAGAGGTGGTGTGTGTTTCCCCACCCCTTGAGTCTGACCTGTCCTGTAACTTGCATTAGGTGATAGAATTTCCCAGAAGCAATGGTTGGTGTCTCTGAGCCTAGACCTAAAAAGGCTTTGCACATGTCCATTCACTATGCTGGGGTCATGCCCTGTGCTGAGGTGAACCCTGGGCTGGATGGCTGGAGGATAAAGAACTGCATGGGAGAGGGGGGCACTCACACAGATGCCCCAGGGACATCCTGAAGCAGAGCTGCCTCACTGCCCTGAACACACATGAGAGCCCAGCCAGGAACAGAAGGAATGGACTGAGTTTAGGCTGAGCCCAGGCTAATTTTCTAACCATGGAACCTTGAGCTCAATAAATGCTTTTGCATTAAGCCTCTATATTAAGTGGGTTTGTCTTATATCCTAAGGTATTGGTATAAATATGGTCTCCTACACATAAAAATAAAGACACACAACCACCTCGCCAAAAAAAAAGGCAGAGTTAAACAAGCACTTCGCAAAGATAAAATTCTAAGAGAATAAATATAAGGAATTTATACTACATAAACATACAAGAAGAAAAATCCGCCATGAGTTGGAGACTAAAGAACATCTAATCAATGCTTCATTATAAAAAATAAAGAAAAGGACATGGCCCCAGTAGAGGGATATGGATATCACTGACTTAACGCTAACCCAAATCTGTAGTTTTGATCCCATCCTATTACTCTCCACCTCTGTTGCCTCTCCTGTGCTAGAGTAGAAGAAACCCTTATGACGTACACAAAGAGTTCATGCATAGGAAATACAGGGAAATGGAGCTGGCCCAAGGCTGTCCTGAGAGCCTTACAAGAAGCACACGTGTGAAGGACACTGTGCAGGAGACCTGAGGCCCACAGCCCCGCTCCTCACCTGCACGTTCTGTCTGATGCGCTGCTCATTGTAGCTCTTGGCCAGGACCACAACCCCACGCTGCAGCTGGTAGCGCAGGGCAATCAGGGCTGGGGTTCGCTTGTGCTTTTTTGCCAAGGCACAAAGGACTGGGTCCTCCAAGAGCACCGGGGAGTTCGGGTCCACCCTGGAAGGAAAGGCAGAAAGGCTGAGGCCCTGAGGCTGGCGATAGTTTGTTAGGCGGCTCCCTAAACAGACTAAGGCGTCCACTCTGCACCGGAGCTTCTCAAGCGAGGCCCCCGAACAGCAGCCTCAACATCACCTGGGATCTCGTCAGAAATGCAAATTCTTCCCTCACCCCAAGTCAGCTGTGAGTGAACTCCAGGAAACAGCATGATCTGATTAAATTTTTTTTATCAAACCAGTGTTTTAGGTAAACTTCCTGTATCTCTTATTACCATGGTTCTTCTCGATGGGATCCCAGAGCACTATAGGCAACCAGAACAATGTCTTTTGACTTGCAGAAATCCAGCAGTTTTCTCTGGTTGAAGTAAGGATGACATTCCACCTGCAGACGAGCAAGATGGAAAAGCATCAGATAATCCAAAAGTTACATTAATATTAAAATCACCAAAGTAAAAGAAGCTGAATAATGTAGAGCATTAAATTTGAACTGAGAATATTATTGTCAAAAATGATCTTTTTCATAAAAATAAATTTTATGCCCCTCTCTCCTAAGAAAATAGAAATGCTATTTCTGAGCACAAGCAACTCCATGAACCCTATCCTGGTTTCTCAATAACTCCGACCACTAGAAGGAGACACGGCCAATTTCAGAGCTGGGATGAGGTAAGATTCTTTGAGCCTTGGGCATCAAATCGTGCCAGAAATCAAGAATTTGGTCAAAGACTCATGAGGGCAGGTCTGAAAAACAAAAGAACTAGTTTCCTAATTAATACCAAAAATGCATACATATATATGTATGTTTTCTAATTGATCTGACATATATATATCATATATGCCATCTATGATATATATCTATATAGATGAACTAGAAAATATACATATACACATAAATACTGATAATTTTCACAGTCTTTCATTACTTTTCCTTTTTGTATGATGGATTTGTATGTTGATATCTCAAATGTCACCAGTGGGTTCCCTATGAAACAAGTGCTTTTGTCTTTTACACTTGCCCTCATGAGTCTTTGATCACATTCTTCTTTCATATATATTATATATATATAATATATATATATATGCTGAGTAGATGTGAGCATTAAAAAATGAGTAAAATAAATTAAAAATCATAACACAAGAATCCGTGAGTCTGTAGCAATTAGTGCGACAATGAGAAAAAGAACAACAATCTTTGTCTACTCTGATGGTGGTCATTACAGTAATTACGTTCACAGTACATTGCTAATTGAAGGAAGAAGTTTACCTTTACTCTCACTTAGAGGAATAGTAGTTTATTATTTTTACTTGGTGAGAAATTATTTTTAATTAAATGTCAGGTAAGAATAGTTAAACAAGTGGTTAAAATTGTAAATGATTATGTAAAAACCCCAAGGAAATAACAAATAAGAAATAACAAAGAAGAAAACAGAAATGCAGTAGAAAAAAGTTCAAATCACTGATGTATACTCAATCATATGTGAAAATTTGTCATGGGAATATGACTTCTTCTGTTGAGAATTATCCCCCAGCAGATTACTAGTAATTGTTAAAGAGAAAACATGAGTTAAAAACAACAGATCTGACCACTGTTAGCTTAACCAAGTTTTTAAAACTACCTTCACCACTAGTGGGGCATTCTGTGATTGTATGCAGTCTAGTGTCGTGCAATTTGAAAAACACAGCATGATAAAAACATTTTCTTGCCCCAAAGTTTTAAGCCAATGTAATAAAATACTCACATCTAACTTTTAATTTACAGGAACCTTCAACTGGGAAAAACAAGTTAACTGATATCAAATACAACAATATAAAAACAATTGAATTCTGGTTAAAAAAAGAAGAGCTACAAAAGATATTTTGATTAAGCAATGAAAAATTAAAATATGGACCGGATACCAAATGACATAAGGGCACTATAAATGATGTTCTTAGATACAGTAATGACACTGGAACTGGGAGAATATCTTCATTCCTGTGACATGCTTTGAGAGGTCTCTAGGGGTCAATTGTCATCTTTACAATTTACCTTGAAGAGGTTCTAGAAACATTATATGTATTTATGCAGATATACTCCATATAACATTGCAAAATGTTAGTAATTTTGAATATAAATGGTAACATGGGTCTCCAGTATTATTTTTATCAAATTTTTGGAAAGTGTGAAAATGGCCATATTAAAAAATTGGGGAACTACTAGTATTAAAACCACATTAATTTCTCAATGCTTTTATTAAATTATCACAGCACCATATCATTATACCAAATTATAACAAAATTATAACAAAAAATGTAAGTTACTGGGAAAGGTGTAGTGATTTTAATGCTGAAATGTGTGTAACATTTGGGGGCAGTCAATTTGATCAAGGAGGCCTGGAATCACCAGTCAGGACTCAAGGAAAAGATGGAATTATCTCTAGGCTATGAAAGAACCATGCATAGAATAGATGTGTTTAAGCAGCTGATTGCATGACAGACTCCAAAAAGCAGCCGACTAGGAGCGGGGCAGTCATAGGTCAGCTCCATGTTCTGCTGAACCTTCCTCAGTGTGGATTTCATCCACTGTGAACAGATATCTCCATAAACAGGTCATTTTCTCTTTCTACCATGGATGACCTTCACTGTCTGCAGATAATTTTTAGTGTATCTATGCCCTTGGTCAAGAAGTGTGAAAGCAGAGATATCAAGAGACACTGAGACATCCGAAGCCCATGTGAATCCCTAGTATTTCTCTTCTCTTGCTCTCACTCTCTCCTTATGTACTGTTCATTCCATCTCTTCATGGCTTCATATCTATGCACAGTTCCCTCCAAATCACCTTCACCCGTCCACTCTCTGGTCATCTTTCGTAGCTTAGGGGTAAGTCCACCTTTCCCTGAGTCTAATTGGCAATCCTTGGACTTCTTGATCGAATTGACCTCCTATAAATGTAACACACAATTCAGCATCAAAGTTACAACACCTTTTCGTAAGACTTTTCTAAGCAGGGTACAAGTAAGAGGACTCCATGCCCTTCTAGGAAGAGGCTTTGTTCTCTAGAATCTTCTCTTTTACAAAGATAAGTGGGACTAAATGAATGGATACTTGGCAATAGGACAGAAAGAGGGGCATGAAGAACAGAAAGGAGAGGAGGCTGAGGGCGCTCACCTGGTTGCAGACAGGCTTGTACTTGAGCCCTGGCTTGTTGAGGATCATCTCCAGCAGCCTGTGGTTGAAGTTGGACACCCCGATGGACTTGGCCAATCCTGCATCTTTACACTTCTCCATGGCCTGGGAAAAAGGAATTGTGAGGTATCATTTGTGTAGTCGACTGAAGAGCAAGATAAATGTAACATAGAACTGTGAAAGCAACAACTGTCTAGACGTGACAATCAAACTAGCTAGCCGTGGTTCTTAAAAGGGAGAAAATAAAACAGAAAAATTGGGGAAGAAGATAGTGATTGCAAGAGTGAGAATTTCTGTTTCCTCCTTAGGAAAGTGGAGAGATTAATGTACAGGCAAGGAAAGAAATCCCAGTCCTCCTTACCCCCAATTCTTCTCCTCCACTTCTCTCTTTTGTATGCCTGTCATTTCTTTTTCCTCGCTGCTCACAAAAACTACCTTTGTAAAGTTCCTAAGTTTTTGATCCAATGGTGCATTTTCCATACTTGTACTAAGAAGATAGGAAACAGATGTATCCTACCTCATCTTTCTTATCCGTTCTCTCACCTCCAAACACTCACCTCCCATGTGGCACAGAGATCCACTGTGTCAAATAGTATTTTTCCATTTTCATCTTTTGGGATCACTTCCTCACCTGGCTGAAGTAGAAGCAGTCAGTTTAGTGATGTCACAAGTCAATTTCTCCACACATAGCCATGCTCTGAGGTACATTTAAGGACACTAATCCTCCATGAGGTAGGTGATGCAGCGCTCCAGAGAGTGGTATGTACAAAGTGTACTACATATGAAGGTATAAGGAATGTCTTCAGGTGACAGGCTTCCTCTAATCTCTTACACCTATTATATGTATAAATAAATACCATCTTTCTGGTTCCTAATGGAGTGTCATCATTGACTTTCATTGACTTTCTTCTGCTCCTATAATTTTCTCTGTGGCAATACCTCTCTTCAACTGCAAAAGATCTTGATATCCAGATATAATGGATTGTACTTTTTACCCAGGTGCCACTATCAGAGTTCTTTATCTCCCTGAACATATGATGTTCCATGCACAGGACCATGAACCAATCATGGTCAATGGAGGCGTTTTCCAGGCTAGTTTGGAAATTAGGAGATGCACAGGAGCTCACGGTAATGAACATGGGCCTGACAGTGCTCCAAAGCCATAAATGCCACCAACGAAAAAGGTTGGAACAAATATTTAAAAAGCCTTTTGTAATAAAGCAGAGATAAGGGTGGAGAAAGGATATATTTTTAGAGTTTTTATCAAATTCTTAATGTAGCCCTGGCTTTGATTTCCCATTATCATATCTAATATACCCTTTTGCATTAACTAGCCTGACTAGTTTTCAGTACCTTAAGACAAAAGTTATGAATGACACAAGAATTCATGGCTAAGCAAAAATAAAACCTCCAGTGTGAAAAGAGAGGAAGCAGAAGCAACAAGGTTTCCCATGAAGGTTTGTAGTTTAAGACATTCCCGGACTGAGTTCTTGCCCCTTGAAAAGAGGCAAGAAGATGGAAACTCATTGTGCACCCTATGTGCAGCAGGTTTTCTGGACACCACAGCTTCATGAAACTCTGTGTCTGTGAACATCCCAAGAGGTGAAATCAGGAATCATAAATAAGACCTTGTGCCTTCAAGGAGATGATTGTCATTTCCTCAAGTTTTTGAGGCAGAGGCTTTGAGGATTCTGCACTCTCTTTTCTTGTAGACATGCAATCACGGAAGTATGGATTCAAAATTGCTTTCTGTTCCATAGAAAGGAATTAGGAGTTATGTTTAGGGCTCTTCTTCCATGTTAAAATCCCTATGTCCTCCTAAGAAAAAGCTTAGTTCAAATCTCCATGAAAACAATATTTATGCTGAGAACAAAAGTGAAATTAATTTGATCACACAAGCTGCCTACCTTTACAGACACTGGAAAATGAATAAGATAGAGGTCAACATAGTCCAATTGAAGATTTTTCAGTGACCTTTCCAAGGCTGGTCGGACCAACTCTGGTCGATGGGAATTGCTCCAAAGCTGCAGAGGTTAGAGAAACGAAGTTGTGTAATGAAAACTTGAGCCAGTTTTACTAGTTTGCTCCACCTAATATTTAGACATTTTCTACTACTTCAAAACTAATGACCACAGGCAAAATTATTCTCTCTCTTCTTGTGATGCCTTTTGTTCTGCCATATCATGATGAACTTTATAATATGTTGGATATATAGTTAGTACATATATTGAATGAAAGAGTGAAATTACTCAAAAGGTAAAAGTTGTTATCAAATCATAAGCATACCCATTATCTGAATTATCTTTGGTAAGTTTTACAACTCATATTAGTGGTGTAATTATTTCATCTATTCAGCCCAATGGGCAAGACTAAGTATCTTTGTGGTTTGGAAACTGAGGAGGCAAACACAGTTTTTAATATGTTAACTTGGGCTGGATGCAATTTAAAACAATGTAGGTATCACTCTTTTATACTCACTGAGCTCTCTTATATCGCTTTCTCTCTCTCTCTGATCAAAATGACAATGGAAACTCAGAATCATAACAAATGTAAGAAACTCACCCAGGAGGTAACAGATAACATAATATGATTAAGATTATCTCTCATTCTATAGTCTATGTTAAACCATATTGATCTGTGCTGAGCTCGAAGAGTAAAGGCACTTTGAAGGCATGAATTGGAACACTGCAAAGATGAGAAAGCCATCTTCACTTCCTGCCTTTGATATTAGTTTTAATACATGAGTAAGTGTGAATAAATCGAAATAAATAAGCACAATTCACCCTCAACTATGGATCCAGTCATAGAACTGCCACCTCCACACAATCACAATAAATACATGTGCACACAAGCTCATCATAGGCACAGTACCTTTGAAGTGTAGAATATGTCTTCTCTCTTCACACTGCCATCTGCAATCTTGCTTCGGATGGCCAGTCCAACCTGCTCCTCATTATTGTAAACATGTGCAGAATCAATATGGTGGAACCCGGCTTCTATTGCCAATTTGACGGCCTCTAGAGCTTTACTTTTAGGAACCTGGGGGAGCAACCAAACGTAATATTTTCTGACTAATGTGCCTGAGAGTTAGTTCGGGCACAAGCAGCAACGTTCACAAAAATCAGCTTTTCCTCCTTTCTTGGATGAGCTCTGTATGTAGAATCATAAGCCCATCCCAGTCTGACTGGGTCTTTCCCATTTAGTAATAAAGGTTGGGCATAGCAGGAACTTCTGCAGTCCCAGAAAAATCACTGCTTGACCACTAGCTTGGAAGTGTCCCCAAAACAATTTCACTTTCAGTGATTTTTTGGAAAAATCAACAGGACGCAACTATAGTTACAGACATAATCTTAATTATTTTTAGTATGGTGAAATTAACACAAGGAAATAGCCACATGGAAGGAATTATGAAGGAATGCAGTGTAAGCTCCTGTGATTCCTCTCCCACCATGTTGCACAGAGCGCACTGACTTTATCCAGCATCATATTTTGTCAATGTATGTGAACTGTTGTCTACAAGAGATGCCCTCTACATACTCCATTGCTAAGATTTTGTCTGGGACTGGATACATTGACTCACTCTGCCTAGCAGACACAAATCTTCCAGTCTCCAAAAGCAAAGCAGGTGCACAGAAACCCCACAGTTTACACAAACAGTTACGTAGAGCCACCATTCTTATCAGTTAGGAAACAGGGAGAACTCCACTTTCTCAGATGCCAGCAGGTTTATATTGGAAATAGGCACATCTATGGATAGCAGTCTATTATGTTAGATCTTTTCTACCCAGGTTTTGGCCATTCTGTCTGCATAACAGAACCAAATACTAGGAGTAAAGATGTATACTCTAAGGATATTGATTTGTGTATGTAAGAAATAGGCTGCAGGGAGTAAGTGATTAGCAAAATGGGGTTCAGCTCCATAAATTCAAGGCAACTCTGTCAGGAAACATATGATTGCAGTAAAATTTACAATTATTGACTTATGTAACAAATTTGGATACAGATTTGACAGTATATCTTTTAAATGACAAAAACAGAAACAAAGCAAACTATCTTCCCACCTTGAAAGTATTTCAGAGGCTTTTTCCTGTGAAATTACAAGGAACTAGATACCGGGTCTCACAGCCCTCTCCTCATACCATCTTTGATCTTCTCTTCGCTGTGCAAGCAATCAAAGGCTTACCAAGGCCGGAGCTTCAGTGGTATCCTCATCTTTACTTCCTCTCCATGCCAATTTATATTACAAAATAAACCACTCCTGTCAATGGTCTTCAAAATGTCCCTTTGTAACTCCTTATGTCTTATAGATGAGAAATGTGAGACTCAAATTTTATATAACTAGTTCCTATTCACACACATTGTATTCCCAAGACAGTCTTGAGATACAAGTTTTCTTCCAGTGTAGAAATAGCATTTAGCTATTTCTAAATCTAGAAAATAAAATATATTCCATTAATTTTCTTGTCAGAGAAACAAGAAATTTTTCTGTTACAATATTTTGATACAAATCTGACCCATATTAACAAAGACAAAGAATTTAAACTTTCCTTGTTTGGTTCTAGTTTTTTTTTTTTTTTCTTAAAATGAGGATATTTTATTATTTCAGGTAATTTTCCCAGAGGTGAGAATAGTACATGGGAAATTCTCTTTAGGCCAGGTCTAGTATTACAGTGTGGTGCTCAAGGCCGCCCATCAGAACAGTGATACTCTCCCAACAGATTTCATCCACCCCGTCTCCACTAACTTTTGCCATAAAAATTCCTCTGAATTGTATCTTCTTGGAAGAAGTAAATATCTGTTCGACTATACAAAGAAACAGAGAAACCACTCCCATTGCAATCAATCTTCAAGAGAGGGAGCAGGCAAGCCGTGTTCTTTCTGCTGAGTTTTATAGACTCTGACAAGCTGTGAAATAAACATAAACAGAAGACAAAACAGTGCCACAAATAAGCAGTAGATGACCCTGTGACAAGACGGCATTGCAGAACAAAGACTGACGTTTAAAGGGGAGTCATGCAGAGTAACATAGGAACACAAGCCTGACAACCTGGTCAGCTTCCACTTACTCTAGCTCCTTTGAACTCTCAACACTAAAAATATTATTGTTACCTCTGCAGGCGCATAGGTGCCAAATCCCAGGACAGGCATGAAGTGACCATCATTCAGCTTCACACACTGGTATTTCGAATCCATTTCTGTCACTGGCCTGGTTAGCAAATGTTTCTTCCTCCCTCACAGGCTATAAGAGCAATGAGCTGGCAACGCCCCTGAGCACACTGTCTGCTGGTTAACCAATGGCATGTGAGAGGAGGGACAGAGGCAGTCTTACACAAGCTGTGATAAAAATTGCATCCAGTTCAACCGTTTCTTACCTAAGAAAATTCATAAGTAAATTATTATGTGGTCATGATACACTCATTAATTTCCTCTGAAGTATTTTTGCTATTCCAGATCTCTATATATGAGACATAAATTACTCAAAGAGATTTGTAGAACAAATTGTGACTTTACATAAGAATATAGAAACCTCTAGCGGCACAGCTCTTTTTTGTGTGTGCCATGATGATGAGTTCCTTCTGCATCTTGCAGCATTTGAAATGACTAATTTTCATTTTTCTCTCTCTCACACACACAATTTAAAGGAATGACTAATGAGCATTTCTTTAAAATATTGCCCTCAATTAAAAATTAAAGTTAAAATTTTTAAATGCATGACTTTTTTTCATCAGCAAATTTATTGTTCCTTTCTTATTAGCCTTGTAAGAGAAACATCCCTTCCTGATCAAGGTGCAGTCCTGATAAAGTTGTAATCCTGATGTGGGTGTAAATAAAAAAGAAAATATGATGTGGTTTTATTGGAAGATTTCTTATTAACAGCTTTTGGTCTTTGGATATAATTTGTAACATGCAAACAGTGCCTTATTGGTCTTTTCCAGTCAGTTTTATAAGTTACTACCAAAAAGTAACAAGCCAAAAACCTGATAACTATTAGATATACTTTATAATATTGCTAAACATTATTCATAAAGAAAAACTGGTAACTAATGACATATAAACTGGTGAATAATCCTCACATGGGATAATTTTTACTTTATTCTCCCTTTGGAGGTCAGGTTAAAACAAGATTGTAATTTGCATGATCCATGATTCACATCTTGGAGTAGTCACAACTTGCAGTGCCCTGATTGCTTCTATTTGCTTTCTCATAAAACAAACAGAAATTGAAAAATAGGTAAATTGTTATCATTGACATAAATGTAATATTATAAAGATATTGAAATTTTTCACAGAGTAATTTCAACAAGATGGTGGATTCTAAGATTCCCATATAACTCATGGAAACATCAGAAAATACCTAAAATTGACTGAAATAAACTTATTTATTTCTGGAGTGGCTCAGTAGAGATTCAGGGTGACTATACACATACAGATGTTATAGGCAAAAGGCCAGGGGAAGAGACATGCAATAGTCCATCTAAGCTATTGAGGAGAAACTGGGATGCAAAATTTCATAATAGTAAGCAATTCAAAAGCCATTGGTTATTTGGGGAAATATAAAAGGGCAAACACAGTCCACATAGGTACATGTTCAGAAACAAACTAAGAAGGACTTGAGTTTTACGTAGGGCTGATGCCTTGACTGAGAACCTGCCGCACATATAAGTTAATGACTGTCATGACATAGAACAAATCTATATACAGTAAAAAAGATGTTTATTTTTTCAAATGCCCAGTTAAATAAAATAACAAGGCATACAGGCCAGGCACGGTGGTTCACACCTGTAATCCCAGCACTTTGGGAGGCCAAGGTGAGCAGATCACGAGGTTAGGAGATGGAAACCATCCTGGCCAACATGGTGAAACCCCGTCTCTACTAAAATCCAAAAAAAAATAGATGGACGTGGTGGTGAGCACCTGTAGTCCCAGCTACTCGGTAGGCTAAAGCAGAGGAATCGCTTGAACCCAGGAGGCAGAGGTTGCAGTGAGCCGAGATGGCACCACTGCACTCCATTCTGGTGACAGAGCAAGACTCCAGCTCAAAAAAATAAAATGACAAGGCATACAAAGAAACAAGAAATCACAGTCCATTATGAGGAAGAAATAAATCAGTAGAAATCATTCCTGAAGAATCACAGGCATTAGAATTAGTAGAGAAGCATTTAAACAGCTGTCTTAAATATGCTAAAATTGCTAATGAAAAATATGGATTAAGAACTACAGAAAATCTGAAAAAATAAGAAAATCACAATATAGTATTAATACAGAAATTATAAAAAGAAAAGGAAACAAATTGGAGCTAAAAAATATACCTGAATGAAAAACTCACCAGAGAGTGTTTCAATAGCAAATTTGAGCAGGATGAAGATATAATCAATACACATAGGGATAGCACACTTGAAATTCCTGAGTCTAAGGACATGAAGCAAGAATAAAGAAATGTGAACAGGTCCTAAGGGACTTATGGGACACCTTCAAGCCAACCAGTATGATAGTATTGGATTCCCAGAAGGGGAAGTGCAAACCCATGGTAGTAGAGAAATTATTTGGAGAATAAAATCATCAAAATTTTTCAAATTGGTTAAAGACAAAAATCTACAAATTCAAGTAACTTAAAGAACTGCATATAGCATAAAGTCAAAGAGACTCAGACCTATATGTGTTATCATCCAACTCTAAAAGCCAGACAAAGAGATAATCTTTAAATAACAAGAGATTTTGGGAGCCGAGGCAGGCGGATCACCTGAGGTCAGGAGTTCGAGACCAGCCTGGCTAACATGGTGAAACCCTATTTCTACTAAAAATAGAAAAAATTAGCTGGTCATGGGGGCGCACATCTGTAATTCCAGCTACTCCGGAGGCTAAGCCAGGAAAATAGCTTGAACCTGGGAGGCAGAGGTTGCAGTGAGTTGGGATTGCACCATCGCACTCCAGCTTGGGCTTAAACTCCATCTGAAAAAAACAACAACAAAAATAAAAAGTACGAAGATAAACATGACTCATGGGGTACAAGGGATCCTGGACAAGGTGATCCACAGATTTCTTATGAGAGTCTTTGGAGGATATAGTAGGTGATATATTTAATGTGATCAATAAAAAAAAATTTCACCGAATCCATATTTGGCAAAAAAATTATTTCAGCCTCTTTTTTTTTTTTTCGGAGTTTTGCACTGTCACCAGGCTGGAGTGCAGTGGTACATCTCAGCTCACTGCAATCTCTTTCTCCCGGTTCAAGCAATTCTCCTGCCTCAGCCTCCTGAGTAGCTGGGACTACAGGCGTGCACAACCATGCCCAGCTAATTTTTGTATTTTTAGTAGAGACAGGGTTTCACTATGGTAGCCAGGATGGTCTCTATTTCTTGACCTTGTGATCCGCCCACCTTGGCCTCCCAGTGTGCTCGGATTACAGGCATTAGCCACTGCACCCAGCCAAATTATTTCTTAAAAATTAGAAAGTTAGTAAGACTATGTGATGTAGAAGCTGCAGGAGTTCATTGCCATTAGAACTGCTCTACAAGAAATGCTTAAGAGAGTCATTCACTTTGAAATGAAAGAAGTTTAGACAGCAACGTGAAGTCATATAGAGGTATAAAGACCTCTCGTAAAGGTAGGTGTATGAAAAACGTGGAAACATGTATTTGTGAAATTTGCTTTTACTTTCATTTTCTTCAAGATTTACATTACAATAAGAATAACTTTCTGTTAACATGTACACCATATATAAAGTTGTAATTAGTGACATCAATAATGTGAAGCAGAAACGTACCTGTGGAAAAGAAGTTTCTGTATGGAACTGAAGTTAAATTCACATTGATTTCAGAGTGGATGGTATAACTATAGGATGCAGTATGTCATTCCAATGGTAACTACAGAGAAAATAATTACAGATTATGCACAAGAGAAATTGAAACGGGAATCCAGATTTTAGCAAAGAATCATAGAAACCCCAAAATATTGTTAGTTGAGGATATAAAGGAGAAAAAGCTGCAGACATAAATTTCAGGTCTTTCTTACATACAAAATCCAATCAGTTTACCTCAAGAGTCTCTAAAGCCTTATCAGGTTTAGAATCAACTTAAATGTCTAAAATGCAAAGATTTATCTGAGATCCAAGAAAAATTTCTACCGGCTATGAGCCTGTAAAATCAAAAACAAGTTATTTCCTTCCAAATTACAATGGTTTTATAGGCAGTGGTTGAACAATCTCATTTCAAAAGGGAAATGTCAGCTTAAAGAGAAGAGGAAGAGGCTTCATGCAAGTCATAAAGCCGACAGGGCAGAAATTAAATCTTAAAGCTGCAAAATCAACTTCCTTGACTCTATATTCTTCATTCTGGGCACACTGGTGACAGGGGTAGGCTTCTGGGGGCTTTGGGAAGCACTGTACCTGTGGCTTTGCAGGGTGCAGCCCACATGGCTGCTCTCACAGTTTGGAGTTTAATGCCCATGGCTTTTCCAGGCTGAAGTTGCAAGCGGCTGATAGATTTATAATTCTGGAATTTTGAGGGGTAAGGCCTTTCTCCCACAGCTTTGCTACACAGTGCACCCATGGAGACCCCCTGCAGAGCTCCAACCACATATTAGTGCTCAACATTGCCTAAATAAAAGCTTTATGTTGGGGCTCCAGACCCTGAGCAGGTTTCTTTCTGGGCATCCAGGATTCCTGACACATTGTCTGAAATCTAGGTGGCAAGTGCCAAGCCTCAACCACTCTTGTGCCCCAGAGGACTCAGGCCCAAAGCTCCCCTCCTCTGCTTGTCACTCTCTACTCATCATTTCCTCCAGTGACCAAGTGTGTGTCATGCACCTTGCCAAGGCTCAAGGGGTACCTTGTACATGGGGGCTTCTGCCTGACTAGTGTGGGTCGTGGAGTCGCTAAGAACTAAAACTTTCCACAGCTTGTTTACAATCTGGTGGAAAGAAACTGATCTCAGGAGACCACAGGAATTCTCAGTCCTATAGGTGAGGGAGAGGGAGAGGAATATGAGGAAAGGGAGATGGGAAGAGGGAGGAAAGCAGATGGAAGATGGAAGATCAGGGAGGACAGAAGTGGGATGTCCTTGAGTCATACATAAAGAACACTCATGTGCCTCAAGTAAATAAATGATCCTAATTTCTTCTCACTATTTTTTCTGAACAAGTGTTACAGTTTGCAAAGAACTCCGAATATTTTCTCAACAAATACATATTGATATGATACTTTAAACAAAATGATGTTTGCCAGCACTGTTTGTCCTGAGATTTCCTGTTTGGTTGACTCAATTCTCTGGGGTGAAGAGGTTCTATGTGAACAAAAAGGGGTACACTTGAGCCTCACAGAGGTTTGTGGGTGAAGTCATGTCTGTGAGAGGCTGTGGAAGCTCACAGTTAGCCTGCATTGCTGTGGAAAATGGTGGGATGCCAAAAGCCGTGCAGGAGGAAAAAGGAAGAGCTGGGAGGCTGTGGAGGAGGCTGAGGTACTGCTGATGCCATGGAGAAAATTTTGGGGAAAAGACAGAGATGCCTAAAGCAATATGTAGGAAGTTTTAATTATGACATTAGTTGAAATTTCACAACCCATGAAATTTAAAGTAAATTCCACCTTGCTCAGTTTTTTCAGAGTGAACTCTGTTTGAAGAAACAACTGTGTCACCAATGTTGACTCTGGATGAGTGACAATTGCACCGAGCACTTTTTGAGACGTCTGCCTTGTCTGCACTGTTTGTTATTTTACTATTGCTCAATACTATTGTTCACCCCTCAAGCTCCTGGGGTTGATGCAGTCAGGGTGACTCAGCAGCTTGCACACCTTGCGACCACTCCTAGATAGGTCAACAAGCAGGGGAGGTTGTAAAGAGAAAAGTATTAATATTATAGTTGTTTTGGTTAGCATAAAACCAGGTGAGAAAAAACTATTTCTGAATGGTTTAAACTCCATGTGATATGGACAGGAGACAGGGAAATACTGGGTAGAAGAGGGTGGTTTCCCAGCAAAGGCCCCCACCTTTAAGCCTGGATACTCGTGCCCCTAAATGAGAACAGGCATTTCTGTTTTCACGCCCCCAAAATTTGCCTTTTGGCCCACCACACCTCCATTCTGCCCTTATATAAACCCCCAAAGCCTAAGTTCCTGGGCAGACCAGCAGGTGAGGAGACAAGGAGGCAACCAGATGGACGGCAGAACAATGACACACAGAAAGAGAGAAGAGGAGGGACATTGGACACTGAAAGGAATTTGGCCTAGGAGGATTGGAGAAGAGTCCGGCCACTGGGCAGCCTGACTCCAAGGAAAGATCACCTTCCTACTCATTCCCCCATTCCGGCTCCCCATCCATCTTGCTGAGAGCTGCCTCCACCACTCAATAAAATCTTGCCCTCATC